>NC_000004.12:88163805-88315320 GCF_000001405.40 Homo sapiens
AATAAGGAATGTTCCATACCGCATCTGTGTGCAGTTGTTCAGAAAATGTAATGAGGGTAAAGAATCACCAAACAAGCTCTATATTTTGTTACATTCCTGGTTACCTATATACTTGTTACCATTTTCAAAAATCTGCAGATAGTCAATGTGGATGAGAACTAACCACTGAGCATCAAATACATCAAATAAGTTATAAAATTGCCTTTATATATTTTTTTTAAAAAGGAAATTGATATGGTTTTGCTGTGTCCCTACCCAAATCTCACCTTTTTTTTTTTTGAGACGGAGTCTTGCTCTGTCACCCAGGCTAGAGTGCAATGGTGTGATCTCAGCTCACTGCAACCTCTGCCTTGCGGGTTCAAGCGATTCTACTGCCTCAGCCTCCTGAGTAGCTGGGATTACAAGCACTTGCCACCATGCCTGGTAATTTTTGTATTTTTAGTAGAGACAGGGTTTTGCCATGTTGGCCAGGCTGGTCTCGAACTCTTGACCTCAGGTGATCCACCACCTCGGCCTCCCAAAGTACTAGGATTACAGGCGTGAGCTACGGCTCCCAGCCCATCTTGAATTGTACTTCCCATAATCCCCACGTGTTGCGGGAGGGACCTGGTGGGAGGTAATCGAATCACAGGGGTAATTATTCCTATGCTGCTGTTCTGATAGTGAGTTCTCACGCGCTCTGATGGTTTCATAAGGGGCTTTTCCCCTTTTGCTCGGCACTTCTCCTTCCTGCCGCCATGTGAAGAAGGATGTGTTTGCTTCCCCTTCTGCCATGATTGTAAGTTTCCTGAGGCCTCCCTAGCCAGGCTGAACTGTGAGTCAATTAACCTCTTTCCTTTATAAATTACCCAGTCTCGGGTATGTCTTTATTAGCAGCATGAGAACAGACTAATACAGAAACTTTTTAAAAAATTGTAACAAAAGGGAAGGAAGTTGGATGTATCCTCATGGAGGTAAATGGATTTTTTGTTGTTGTTGTTGTTTGTTTTTGAGACAGAGTCTCACTCTGTTGCCCAGGCTGGAGTGCAGTGGCACAATCTCAGCTCGCCACAACCTCCACCTCCTGGGTTCAAGCAATTCTCCTGCCTCAGCCTCCCAAGTAGCTGGGATTACAGGCATGCATCACCATGCCTGGCTAACTTTTGTATTTTTAGTAGAGATGGGGTCTCACCATGTTGCCTCAGCTGGTCTTGAACTCCTGGCCTCGAAGGGATCTGCCTGCCTTGGACTCCCAAAGTGCTGGGATTATAGGTGTGAGCCACCACATCTGGCCGAGGTAAATGTTTTAATTAGAGAAAATTGAAATAAATATCTGGCCCATAACTATACTTTCTCTCTGAAGTTGATGGATGTGCTGAGGGTATGGGTGTGAATGGCTGATTTGGGATTTGGAAAAATGATGAATATTTGAATAGACTTCTATTCGTTTTCTATTGCTGCCATAACAAATAGCCACAAACTTAGTGGTTTAAGACAACACAAGTATATTACATTTCTATGGGTCAGAAGTCTAAAATGGGTCTAGTGGTCTAAAATCAAAATGTCAGCAGGTCTGTGTTCCTTTCTGGAACCTTTTCAATCTTGTAGAGGCCACCTGCATTCCTTGGCTCTTGGCCTCTTTCTCCATCTTCAAAGCCAGCAGCATAGCAGCCCTGTGACCCTGCTTCTGTCATCACATCTTTGATTTTCTTCTGCCTCCCTCTTCCACCTTTAAGTATTGTTATTACAATAGGCCCACTGGGTAAGCCAGGATAATCTCCCTATTTTAAAGTTATTTGGGCCAGGTACATTCATCTGGGCAGGCTCACGCCTGTAATCTCAGCACTTTGGGAGGCCGAGGCGGGTGGATTACGAGGTCAGGAGTTCAAGACCAGCCTGGCCAACATAGTGAAACACTGTCTCTACTAAAAATACAAAAATTAAGCGGGCATGGTGGCATGCGCCTGTAGTCCCAGCTACTCGGGAGGCTGAGGCAGGAGAATCGCTTGAACCCGGGAGGCGGAGGTTGTGGTGAGCCAAGATTGTGCCACTGCACTCCAGCCTGGGCAACAGAGTGAGACTCCATCTCAAAAAAAAAAAAGAGAGAGAGAAAATCATTAGATTAACAATCTTCATTTCATCTGGAACCTTAATTCTCCTTTGCTAAAGTAACCTATCATTCACATTCTAGGGAATAAGACATGGACACCTTTGAGAGGCCATTTTTCTGCTCACCACAAGGCCCCAAGGAAATGGAAGAGGATGCTAATGGAGGGACCCACTGGCACCCACTGAGTTGGTATGAAGAGTATTTTAAACTGAAACATTTAAGACACAGCAGATACAGAAAGAAGCCTTTCTGGAGCTTCCCTTATTTGACTAAAGCCAGAGCTTTCAGAGAGTGAAGCTGCCATAAATTCCCTCTTGGGGAGCTTCACTGCCAGTAAGGAGACTTTACTGCCAGGAAGGAGACCACTTGCACCTGAATGACGAATTGCATAACCGAACATAATCACAAATTGTCGTACCATCATTTGTTTCCCTAAAAGCCCATTTGTCTTTCCACAAAAGTATATTTGCTTTCCCATAGAACCCTTTCTCTCCTCCTCCCTTTTCCCATATTATTGGCATATAAATTCTCATCCCTAACTGTACAGAGAGCCTCTTCACCTGAGTAAGTGTAAATAAACCTTGTCTATTCTCCTGTTAATCCATCTATTGCCAATTAATTTACAGGCCCCCAAGCACTGGACCTAAGTTGGCAGAGGAAGTTTTTCCTCCCAACACTAATATGAGACATAGAGCTCGCACAGCAACACCAAGGCCCCTACTACTTGGGATGGGACTCTGTAAACAGTGGTTTGAAAGCTGCAAATGGGCATGGCTTTCTCATTCACAAAGATGTGAAGGTAAAGGGTTAGATAAATTCTAGGGTACAGTTTTGTTGGGTGGGTAAGGCAATAGAAAGATGAAGCAAAGGAGTCATGTGAGTGAAGTGATTCATCATCATAGGAAAGCGAAGCCAGGAATAGACAGAGAGAAAGAAAGTACATGGAGGGGTCACATGCAGATGGCAAAAGTTGAAACAGGAGGATCAGGTCACTGAGTGGGATACTGGCATTTAATATTCACATTCCAGGTTTTGATAAGGTCCCACGGTTTGAACACGAGAGTGAGGTTATGGAAATGGAAGGGAAGTGTATTTGTTTTCTATTGCTTGAGTAACAAATTACCATCAAGTTAATGTCTTAAAACAATACCCATTTATTATCTCCCAATTGTGGAGGTCAGAAGTCTAGGCTAGGTTAGGCTTTGCTCAGGGTATCAACAGGCCAAGTCAAAGTGTCAGCCAGCTGAAATGAACTCTTAGCTGGACACTCTTCTCTAAAGAACCAAGCAGAGTAAGGTTGTTGGCAGAATCCATTTCTTTTTGGTTCCAAGACTGAGTTTCCTGTGTCCTTGCTGAATGTCAACCAGGGGCACCCTCAGCTCCTCTTGGCTGCCTGCATTTCTTCCCATGTGGCCCCTCCACTTTCAAAACAGTTTGAGTCCTTCTCAAACTTTGAACCCAACTGTCCCTTCTGCCTTTTTTTTTTTTTTTTTTTTTGAGATGGAGTCTCGCCCTGTTGCCCAGGCTGGAGTACAGTGGCACAATCTCGGCTCACTGCAACCTTCGCCTCCCAGGCTCAAGCAATTATCCTGCCTCAACCTCCCGAGTAGCTGGACTACAGGCATGCGTCACCATGCCCAGCTAATTTTTGTTATTTTTAGTAGAGACGGGGGTTTCACCATATTGGCCAGGCTGGTTTCGAACTCCTGACCTCAGGTGATCCACCCACCTTGGCCTCCCAAAAGTGCTGGGATTATAGGCATGAGCCACTGCGCCCAGGCTCTTTCTGCCTTTTAAAGGGCTTATGTGATTAAATCAGGCCCACCTTTACAATCTTGATATGTTAGAGTCATCTGACTTAGGACTTTAGTTATAACTTCAAAATCCTTCAGATCAGTACCTAGATTAGTGCTTGATGAAATAACCAGGGAATGAACTGGAATTGTAGGGGTTAGGGGAGAGGGAGATCTTTAGAATTCTGCCTATCCTGGAGATGGAGTTGAGATCAGAGAGCACAGAAGCTAGGGTGATGGGATGATCATCAAAATAAACAGAGAAGTTACCAAGATAGCAATAATCTTGGAGAGACGAGAAATGTCAAAAAGCAGGCGTCAAAGTCTTTTAGACATGGAAAGTGAAGAGAAGGTGGGTTTTACACAGAGAGAGACAGCATCGGGGAGGGGGCAGGGGATTGTGGGGGTAGTAAGAGCCCAGATGCTGGAGCCAGAACACCTTGGTTCATGTAATTTGCTTTATACAGCAGACAAGAGACCAATTAAGAAGTAATTCATTTGGTTATAAAGTTTATTTAGGGCCAGGTGCAGTGGTTCACACCTGTAATCCCAGCGCTTTGGGAGGCTGAAGCGGGTGGATCATGAGGTTAGGAGATTGAGACCATCCTGGCCAACATGGTGAAACCCCATCTGTACTAAAAATACAAAAATTAGCTGAGCATGGTGGCATGCGCCTGTAGTCCCAGCTACTCAGGAGGCTGAGGCAGGAGAATCGCTTGAACCCAGGAGGCAGAGGTTGCAGTGAGCTGGGATCTCGCCACTGCACTCCACCCTGGTGACAGAGCTAGGCTTCCTCTCAAAAAAAAAAAAAGTTCATTTGGTTATAAAGTTTATTTGGTTATAAAGTTCACTTCTAAAAATTAGACTGCAGTGAAAAAAAAAAAACTACGTATTGATAATTAACCTGCAGAGTCAGATAGTACAGTAGAGTATATAACATTTGTCTCTGCAGATTAAGCTAAAAGGTTAAATGTTAAGAATTCACCAAACTACATTTCAGTACCTATAAAAGTCTTTTGTTTAACTAAATTTTGTAGGGAAGTATAACATACATAAGTCTTTTGTTTAACTAAATTTTGTAGGGAAGTACAACATACCAAAAAAGTACAGGAAATCTAAGTGGACAGCTTGATATATATTTACAAAGTGAACACACCTGTATACCTGTCACTCAGATTAAAAAAAAAAAAATTGTATTAGCAATGCCACAGAAGCCTCCCTCAAGCTCCATCCCTTCCAAAGGTAACATCTATTACCATTAAAGGTCATCACTCCCAAAGGTCATCCCATCCATTCTGACTTCTATCATTATATATTAGTTGTGTCTGTTTAAAACTGTATATAAATGAAGTAGTTATCTTTTTTTTTTTTTTTTTGAGACAAGGTCTCACTCTGTCACGCAGACTAGAGTGCAGTGGCACAGTCTCAGGTTACTGCAGCCATGGCCTCCTGGGTTCAAGCAATTCTCCTGCCTCAGCCTCCTGAGTAGCTGAGATTACAGGCATGCACCACCATGCCCGGCTAATTTTTGTATTTTTAGTAGAGATGGGGTTTCACCATGTTGGCCAGGCTGGTCTGGAACTCCTGACCTCATGATCCACCCGTCTCAGCCTCCCAAAGTGCTGGCATTACAGGCATGAGCCATCATGCCCAACCAAGCAAGTAGTTACCATTTTGAGACTGTCTTCTTTTGTTGAATATTATCGGCATGAAATTCATATATTTTGCAGGTCATAAAGGCTTATTCATTCTTATCTTTATGAGGATTCCACTTTATGAGTACAGTGTAATTTATTTATCTACTTTTGATGGGCCTTTGGGTCCTTTCCAGTTTGGCAATACACCCTAAAGTGTTAGATTAGAAAAGAGTTCTAATGGTCAGTTAAACCCATCATCCACAAGTATGGCTAAATGGAGGCCCAAAATGTGAAACTATTTTCTCCCTTTGATTATGCTCCAAACGGCACAAACAAACCAGAAAAATAGCAAGAAGATCAATATTGTAGAAGAAAGTAAGTAAACGATGATTCCGTTTCTTCCTCAAGCAGATGTCATCTAACCCCTCATTAAGCAATGTTTTTTTGAGGGCTCCCTTACATTAGGTCCCATGTTTGGCACTAAAGAAGAGAAACAAGACACAGGTCCAGGCACAGTGGCTCACACCTGTATTCCCAGCACTTTGAGAGGCCGAGGTGGGTGGATCACCTGAGGTCAGGAGTTCGAGACCAGCCTGGCCAACATGGTGAAACCCCGTCTCTACTAAAAATACAAAAATTAGCCAGGCATGGTGGCATGCGCCTGTAGTCCCAGCTACTCGGGAGGCTGAGGCAGAAGAATTGCTTGAACCCGGGAGGCGGAGGTTGCGGTGAGCCGAGATTGTGCCACTGCACTCCAGCCTGAGTAGCAGAGTGAGACTCCGTCTCAAAAAAAAAAAAAAAAAAAGCTGCATTTTTAAACCTTTTTTTCTTTCCTCCTTTCTTGCCAGTCTCAAGACACAGCTTTGAGACAAACCACAGATGTGTTTTCTGTTGTCTTGAAATATGCCTTTGAATGTGTTTTAACACTCTATTCCCTTCCCTTTCCCACCTTATGCTCTCATGCCTTATGCACATTTATTTACCTGGATGCTTGTTAAGCTCACATCATACTCACTTATCTGGTCATATATTTCTTTAGAAGCTTCAGGGGCCTAATCCTGACACAAAAACAGGCACTTCTGGGATTCTCTTCCCAGCCGGAGATGACTTCTAGGCCAGGGTTCACTCCCAGATAGATATTGACTGCAAGACTGACTGGGATTGATTTGTAACTTGGATGAGCCCACGAAGGTGCTGGCCCCTTCACCAGATGGAACAATAATTCAAGATAAGCTACTAGGGCAAGCCCACGCCACCTGGCACCTACTAGCCCCCTTGCCTCTCCGGCATTCAAAGCCCCTCTTCTGAAACCCCTGCCCTCTCTCCAGAAATTGGAAAGTGGAAATTTTTGTAAAGTATTCTGACCACTTTCCTCCTTGCTGTCAATGGATAATAAAATTCACTCTTTATCATACCTCACTCTTGTTATTTTGTCTTCATTCCACAGGCAGCGAGCGACCGGCTCCTCTTTCAGTTATAAACCTAACGTTTTAGAAAGGTTAATCTTATCAACCTAAATGCCCATAATTAGCAGATGGGATAAAGAAAATGCACTGGTATATATGTATATACCATGAGGGTGTAAGACATATACACCATGAAGTACTATGCAGCCATAAAAAGGAATGAGATCATGTCTTACAGGAACACGGATGGAGCCGGAGACTATTATCCTTAGTAAACTAACGCAGGAACAGAAAACCAAATATCACATGTTCTCACTTATAAATGGGAGCTAAAGGATGAGAACTCATGAACACAAAGAAGGAAACAACAGACACGGGTCTACTTGAGGGTGGAGGTTGAGAGGAGGGAGAGATGCAGAAAAAATAACTTGGGTACTGGGCTTAATACCTGGTTGATGAAATCACCTGCACAACAAACCCTCATGACACGAGTTTACCTATACAACAAACCTTCACATATACCCCTGAACCTAAAGTAAAAGTTAAAAAAAAAAAAAAAAGAAAGGTTATTCTGTTCATGTATAGAATGGATGGGGGGATGTGGGAAGGCAGAGATCAGTCTGGAAATTTAAAAAAAAAATGATTGAACTAAAGAGATGACTTAAACTGAGAAAAGAGGCATCAAAGAAACATTGTAAATGAAGAATTTACAGAAGCTGGTGACTGAGAACACTGAAGGTGAAAGACAAAGAAGCTAGAGATGACTTCAAGGTCTGATTCGTTCTTTTTCAAATTGGCTAATTATTTGATTGTCTCCTGTTCTTCCTCATGTTTTCAATGCCATCTTCACATTTTAAAACATTTCAAGCAGAGTTATTTACTTTAATTCTGATAATTATAATATCCAAAGTCTTTGTGTTTCTGGTTGTATTATCTATGGCTTGCTTGATCTCTTTTTTTATTATTATGAATTTTTTGTTGGCTGCCTCTCTGTAGGAATTCTTTGAGGATTGAGGAGGATACATTTATCTGGGAAAGTTTGTGTTTGCTTTAAGACACCTGGGAATATTACCCATCCTGACAGCCTTTGAATTACAGACCTGTGGGGCCCAGCATGATGGCATGTGCCTGTAATCCCAGCTACTCAGAAGGTCGAAGCAGGAGGATCACTTGAGGCCAAAGGAGTTCCAGGCCACAGTGTGCTATGATTGTGCCTGCAAGTGGATTCTGCACTCCAGCCTGGGCAACATGGCAAGACCCCATCTCTAAAATAAAATAAATAAGGCTGGGTGCGTTGGCTCATGCCTGTAATCCCAGCACTTGGGAGGCCAAGGCACATGGATCACCTGAGGTCAGGAGTTCGAGACCAGCCTGGCCAACATGGTGAAACTCCGTGTCTACTAAAAATACAAAAATGAGCTGGGCATGGTGGCAGGTGCCTGTAATCCCAGCTACTCGGGAGGCTGAGGCAGGAGAATCCTTGAACCTGGGAAGCAGAGGTTGCAGTGAGCCAAGATCACACCACTGCACTCCAGCCTGGGCAACAAGAGCAAAGCTCCGTCACAAAAAAAAAAAAAATTGCTGGGCCTAGTGGCTCATGCCTATAATCCCAGCACTTTGGGAGGCGGAGCTGGGCGGATCACCTGAGACCAGCCTGGCCAACCTGGTGAAACCCCGTCTCTACTAAAAATACAAAAATGAACCAGGCACAGTGGCACCCGCCTGTAATCCCAGCTTACTCAGGAGGCTGAAGAAGGAGAATCACTTGAACCAAGGAGGCAGAGGTTGCAGTGAGCCGAGTCACGCCACTGCACTCCAGCCTGGGAGACAGAGCAAGACTCTGTCTCAGGGAAAAAAAAAAAAATTAATTAATTAATTAAATTAATAAGTAAATAAAGTATAGACTTGTGGTTTTTCAATCATACAAAGAATGTAGATTCAGATCCCAAACCACTTAAGATCTGGTCAGTGGCTACAAATTCTTAGAGGAGGCTTTATTTCTTCTTTTTTTAAACTTCCATTCATAGCCCAGCCCAAGATGGAAATGTATTCTCTATTTTGCAGGAGGGGTTTTTTTCTGGCTTGCCCATTCTGAGCTCCAGACAGTATGCATGAAGATAAGCTTCCATTCTGTGTGGATTCAGGGCTTTGTTCCCTGTCTTCTCTGTGTAGTGAACTTTTTAGGTCATAAATAGCATTGTAGGGCTCAAGGCACACAGGGACTTTGAAGGGTAGCTTAATTGCCTGGTCTCTGCTCCTGTTCCATTAGTGATCTTAGTGGACTCATCTAAACATTGAAAAGCAGTTTTTAACACATTAAGTATTTTTCATTATTATGTAGGTCAAGTGGTTTCAGAATTTCTAACACTGCAATATTGCTAAAAATGGAAGTCCTCAATTGTATTGGTCATCATATTCACTTTTTCTTGTTATTATGGAAATTTTGAAACATCTCCAAAGTAGAAAGCATAGTATGACAAACCCCTATGTATCAATCTTCAACTAGTGGCCAATCTTTGTTTCATTGATACCTGCCTTTTTTCCCTCTTTCCCACAGATTATTTTGAAACAAATTTCAGAAAGCAAACTACTACACAATTGATTTACTTAGGAAATGGAATTATGTTCTGTGTGATTGCATCTAAATAGCTTCATTAACCACATCCTTTTGCCTTCCATTGTTTACTGTAAAATTATGAATCTAAAAACTTGAGTAGATTCAGGTCCAATCACTTGACAATAATGCATTCTAGGTGTTGTATACTTCCATTAGGAAGCTCCGAATGCCTAATTTTATTCGTAACTATTTTCAGATCTCTATAAAAGATATGGATTCTATTTTTCAAGCAAACCCCAACACTATTATCACATCTAAACAATGGACAATTTATTTTTACATTTATTTTATTTTAGTGGAAGTGCCAGGGATTGAAATTTTCTCAATAGCATGAAATATCCAGTCATTGTTCAAATATCTCTAATTTTTGGCCAGGCATGGTGGCTCATACCTGTAATCCCAACACTTTGGGAGGCTGAGATGGGAAGATCACTTGAGCCCAGGAGTTTGAGAACAGCCCGGGAAATGTAGCGAGACCCTGTCGCTACAAGAAAAAAGAAAACAAATATCACTGATTGTCTCATAATTTTTAATGTTTAAATTTTCAAATCAAAATCCAAATAATGTCCGTATTACTTTTGGCCGATGTGTCTCAGACTTGTTTAGTTAAAGGATCCCACTCACACTCTCTTATTTCCCCCTTACAGTTTGTTATGGACAGCAGTGTGTCCTTGAGAAATTCATGTTGAAGTGCTATCTTCAATACCTCAGAATGTGACTGTATTTGTAGACAGGGTTTTTGAAGAAGTGATTACATTAAATGAGGTCTTTAGGGTGGGCCTTAATCCAACCTGACTGGTGTTTTTTTTTTTTCTTTTTATTTTACTTTAAGTTCTGGGGTATCTGTGCAGAATGTGCAGGTTTGTTACATAGGTATACACATGCCATGGTGGTTTGCGGTTCCTATCAACCTGTCATCTAGGTTTTAAGCCCCGCATGCATTAGGTATTTGTCCTAATGCTTTCCCTCTCCTTGCTCCCTACTCCCCAACAGGCCCTGGTGTGTGATGTTCCCTCCCTGTGTCCATGTGTTCTCACTGTTCAACTCTCACCTATGAGTGAAAACATGCAGTGTTTGGTTTTCTGTTCCTGTGTTACTTTGCTGAGAATGACGGCTTCCAGCTTCATCCATGTCCCTCCAAAGGACATGAACTCATTCTTTTTTATGGCCACATAGTATTACAGACATGCGCCACCACGCCCAGGTAATTTTGTAATTTTAGTAGAGACAGACAGGGTTTCTCCATGTTGGTCAGGCTGGTCTGGAACTCCTGACCTCAGGTGATCCACCCGCCTCAGCCTCCCAAAGTGCTGGGATTACAGGCGTGAGCCACCATGCCCAGCTGATGATAGTTTCTTTTGCTGTGCAGAAGCTCTTTAGTTTACTTAGATCCCATTTGTCAATTTTGGCTTTTGTTGCAATTGCTTTTGGTGTTTTTGTCATGAAGTCTTTGCTCATGCCTGTGTCCTGAATGGTATTGCCTAGGTTTTCTCCTAGGGTTTTTATGGTTTTGGGTTTTACATTTAAGTCTTTAATCTATCTTGAGTTAATTTTTGTATAAGGTGTAAGGAAGGAGTCCAGTTTCAGTTTTCTGCATATGGCTAGCCAGTTTTCCCAGCACCATTTATTAAATAGGGAATCCCTCCCCATTGCTTGTTTTTGTCAGGTTTGTGGTGTTCTTATATGAAGAGGAAATTCGGAAACACAAAGAGACACAGTGAGAAAATAAATTTCTGTTGTTTAAATCAAGTATTATACTTTATTATGGCAGCCCAGCAAACTACTACACAATTGATTTACTTAAGAAACAGATTGTTATGTTCTACATGATTGCGTCTTAATAGTTTCGTTAACCACATCCTTTTGCCTTCCATTGTTTAATGCAAAATTATAAATCTAAAAACTTGAGTAGATTCAAGTCCAATCATTTGACAAGAGTACATCCTAGGTGTTGTATACTTCCGTTAGGAAGCTCCAAATACCTGATTTTCTCTCTTCTTTTGATGATTATTACTAGACCCATTAAGTATTTCATTAGGGGTTACAAATGTGTAGTAGGCTAAATTTATAATTCCTTCTTAATTTATTAGCTGGAAATTTTATTTAAAGAGAACACTTCATTAAGAATTTGTTCACCTCAAGGTCCAGTATGTTCAAAACAGGCAGAGTAACTGCTAGATTCTTTTCCTTTGTTTTCAAAATAACAAGTGTGATTCTATATCACAATCCAAAGGTGACTGGCCAATGAATTGTTAATCTTCATAGACTCATGGATTTAAACACATAATGTATTTACTACATTGCAGTTACTCTTATTGATTCCCAAAATATCTTGGCCAGTGAAAGGCCCTTCAAATTGCCTTCAAGTTAGTAGTCTCCGCGTGCATTCTTGCTTTCTAGCATAACAACATGTTCCAGGCTCATTTTTCATTTCCTGCCTCAGATCTGAAACCAACCATTTATCTAAGAAGCTCTGATGCCTTTGAGTGAGAAATAGCATTTAGGAAGCATAATTTGTATTCTTCTATTTTATTTCTGAAACAAAAATATCTGAAGCAAGCACGGCATTAGGTTATGAATGGATAATGGTTGTGGGGATACTACAGACATTTGCTATGTTATTCATCCTTTGTGTATGCCATGTTTCCAATCCTCCATATATAACAACCCTTGTGAAAAATTCCTCACAGAGTTCTCTACAGAAAAATGTTGTTTCTCCTGATGTATTGATAGTAATGATTAGAAAATTAGTCTGTAAATGCTCTGTCTACAGATCTAATTTTTGTGTTTAATTATTATGATTATTCTTGTTTTTTTTTTCTTTTTTTGTGGAGACAGGGTCTTGCCATGTTGCCCAGGCTTGTCTTGAACTCCTGGAATCAAGCAATCTACCTGCCTTGGCCTCACAAAATGCTGGGATTACAGGTGTGAGCCACTGTACCCAGCCTGATATGATTATTGATTATTCTTAACCCTGCATTTACTGATATCATTTCCTCCTCTCCTGTTCTCTTTATAATTAATCTTTTTATTTATCTCATGTCATCTTTTATCAACTCCTTTAATGAAAGCTATTAACTAACTTTCAATAGGCAGATAATAAATACAGTAATGAAACCAAAGAGAATGCTTTTTTTTTTTTTTTTTTTTTGTGACAGGGTCTCACTGTTTCACTCAGGTTGGAGTGTGATGGCCCAGTTACAGCACACTACAGCCCCAACCTCCTGGACTCAGGTGATCCTCTCACCTCAGCCTCTCACATAGCTGGGACCATAGGCACATGCCAGCACACCTGGCTAATTTTTTTTTTTTTTTTTTTTTTTTTTTGTAAATACAGGGTCTCAATATGTTCCCCAGACTGGTCTTGAGCTCCTGGACTCAAGCAGTCCTCTCGCCTTGGCCTCCTACTTCTGGGATTATAGGTATAAGCCACTGTACCCACCCTCTACAAATTTTAAAGTAAATCTAATTTTAAATGTCACATCTTCCCTAATAATGAAATATGCTTATTCTATACTTAATTTCCTGAAGTGATAGTATTTCTCTATGAGCCATATATGGTGTCAAGTTATAGCAAGTATTCTCCACCATTAAAGAAGTCAGGTTAGATAATGTCCACGAACATTAGTTGAAAAATACTACTTAACATCAAAACCCAGCTAATCAAAAGAGATAAAAAGAGCTATGGAAAAGAGAAGCAAAAAGACTGGTAACACATTAAATACATTTATATAAAAATGAATGGCCGGGCGCAGTGGCTCACGCCTGTAATCCCAGCACTTTGGGAGGCCGAGGTGGGCGGATCGCAAGGTCAGGAGATCGAGACCATTCTGGCTAATACGGTGAAACCCTGTCTCTACTAAAAATACAAAAAAAAATTAGCCAGCATGGTGGCAGGCGCCTGTGGTCCCAGCTACTCGGGAGGGTGAGGCAGGAGAATGGCGGGAACCCAGGAGGCGGAGCTTACAGTGAGCCGAGATTGGCCACGGCACTCCAGCCTGGGCGACAGAGCGAGACTCCGTCTCAAAATAAAAAAAAATTAAAAAAAAAAGAAGAATATTACCCTTGTGGAAATTATGATTATATTGTAGAACATAATTGAAATATTATAAACATAAATATTTTTATGTAATAAAAACTAAGCGGGAGAGACAGGAGGTGGAACAAGATCACTGAATTGGAGCCTCCATCAATTGTCCTCCCCACGGGAACACCAAATTGAACCACTATCTACCCCAAAAAGCACCTTCACAAGCACCAAAAATCAGATGAACGATCATAGTATGGGTTTTAACTTCATATCATTGAAAGCAACACTGAAGAAGGTAGGAAAGACAGTCTTGAATTGCGGACACCACCCCTCCCCAATCTCTCTCGGCAGTGGCCACATACCATGGAGAGAGAAATCTGTGTGTTGGGGGAGGGAGAGCACAGCGATTATGGGACTTCGCATTGGAACTCAGTGCTGCCCTGTCTCAGTGGAAAGAACACAGGGCAGAATCAATGCTGATGAAGACAGCATTTAGACCAGAGGTAACCAGAGGGAATTTGCCTATCCCAGTGGTCAGGACCAGAGTTCCAGCAAGCCTTATCACCGTGAACTAAAGTGCTCTGGGGTTCTAAATAAACTGGAAAGGCAGAATAGGCCACGAAAACAGCAATTCCTGGAAAAGTTTTGGTGCTATGCTGGGCTCAAAACCAGTGGACTTGAAGGGCAACATGACCTAGTGAGACACCAGCTGGGGCAGCTAAGGGAGTGCTTGCACCAACCCTTACCCAAGCTCAGGCAGTGCAGCTCACAGCTCTGGGAGAAACTCCTCCCTTCCACTTGAGCAGGGGCAAGGGAAGAGTAAAGATGACTTTGTCTTGCAACTTCAATACCAGCTCAACCACAGTAGAATAGGGAACCAGTCAGAGTTGTGAGGCCCTAGCTCTTGGATAGCATTTCTAGAAACACCCTGAGCCAGAAGGGAAATTGCTGCCTTGAAGGGAAAAACACAGTCCTGGCAGGATTTATCACCTGCTGACCAAAGAGCCCTTGGGCCCTCAACAATCAGTAGCGGTACCCAGGCAGTACTTGTTGTAGGCACGGGGTGAGACTCAGAGACTTGCTGGCTTAAGCTGTGACTCAGCACATTCCTAGCTGTGGTGGCTATGGGGAGGGGCTACTTCTGCTTAAGAAAAGGAGTACTCTCAAGTGTAATGAAGACTTTGTCTTGCAGCGTAGGTACCAGCTCAGCACAGTGAGGTAGAGCACCAAATGGGCTCTTGGGGTCCCTGATTCCAGGCCTTGGTTCTTAAACAATATTTCGGGACCTGCCCTAAGCCAGAGGGGAGCCCACTGCCTGAAGGGAGAGTCCCAAACCTAGCAGCATTCAATACAAGCTGACTGAAGAACCCTGGGGCAGGCAGTACTTGCCACAGGCCTGAGACAGTACTGGGCAGTAGGGAGAGACTCCTCTGCTTGTGGAAATGAGAGGGAAGTGCAAAGGACTTTGTCTTATTGCTTGGGCTCCAGCACAGCCTCAGTGGAATACAGAACCTGGTAGATTCCTGAGGTTTCCAACTGCAGTCCCTGGCTCCCAGATGACATCTGTGGACCTGCCCAGGACAGGGAGAACTTGCTGCCCTGAAGGGAAGGACACAACCTGGCTGACTTCACCACCTGCTGATTGTTGAACCCTAACACCTTGAGTCAACATAGGTGGTAGACAGGCAGTGGTTACCATGGGCCTTAGGCAACACCCAGTGCTATGCTGGCTTTAGGTCTGACCTAGTGCAGTCCCTGTGTTGGTGGCCACAGGGGTGCTTGTGTTACCCCTCTCCTAGCTCCAGGCGGCTGAGCACAGAGAGAGGGAGAGACTCCATTTGTTTGGGAGAAAGTAAAGGAAGAGAACAAGAGTCTCTGCCTGGTAATTCAGAGAATTCTTCCGCATCTTATCCAAGACCACCAGATTTTACCTCTGTGAGTCTGCAAGAGCCACAGCGCGACAGGGCTTGGGGTGCCTCCTAATGAAGATGTGACTACAGTGACAAAAAACTTAGATTACAACACCCAACTCCCACCGTACACCTGGAAAGCCTTCCCAAGAAGGACAGGTACAAACAGGCCCAGACTACAATAAATACTTATCTTCAATGCTCAGATGCTGATGAACATCCTCAAGCATCAAAACCATCCAGGAAAACATGACCTCACTAAATGAACTAAATAAGTCACCAAGGACAAATCATGGAGAGACAGAGAGATATGACCTTTCTTTCAAACAGAAAATTCAAAATAGCTGTTTTCAGGAAATTCAATGAAATTCAAGATAACACAAAGAAGGAATTTACAATCCTATTTATGGGAATCAGAGTCCTAAAAATGTAACAAAACAATTGAAATAACTAAAAGGAATCAAACAGAAATTATAGAGTTGAAAAATGCAATTGACATACTGAATAATGCATCAGAGGATTTTAATAGCAGAATTGATCAAGCAGGGAAATAACGAGTGAGCTTGAAGACAGGCTATTTGAAAATACACAGGCAGAGAACACATGCACACATCAAGAATAAAAAAAGAATGAAGCATGCCAACAAAATCTAGAACATAGCCTGAAAGGGACAAAGCTAAGAGTTATTGGCCTTAAAGAGGAGGTAGAGAGAGGGGGGTAGAAATTTATTCAAAGGACAATAACAAAGAACTTTCCAAAACTAGAGAAAAATATCAATATTCAAGTAAAAGGGGGTTACAGAACACCAAGCAGATTTAACCCAAATAAGATTACCTCAAGATATTTAATAATCAAACTTCCAAAGATAAAGGATCCTAAAAGCAGCAAGAGAAAGGAAATAAGTAACATATAATGGAGCTCTAATATTCCTGGCAGCAGACTTTTCAGTGGAAATCTACAGGCCAGGAGAGAGTGACATGACATATTTAAAGTGCTAAAGGAAAAAAACTTGGATCCTAGGATGGTATGTCTGGAGAAAATACCCTTCAAATATGGAAAAATAAAGACTTCCCCAGATAAACAAAAACTGAGGAATTTTATCAACACCAGGCCTATCTTACAAGAAATGATAAAGGGAGTACTGCAATCTGAAAGAAAAAAACGTTGGCCAGGTACAGTGGCTCATGCCTATAATCCCAGCACATGGGAGGCCAAGGCAGGAGAATTGTGTGAGCCCAGGAGTTCAAGACCAGCCTGGAAAATATAATGAGACCTTGCCTCTACAAAAAAAAATTTTAAATTTTTAAATTTTTTTATGGAAATGGTGGTGTGCACCTGTAGTAGCAGCTAGCTACTCAGGAGGCTGAGGTGGGGGGGCTCACTTTAGCCCAGAAAGTATAGGTTGCAGTGAGCTGAGATCATGCCACTGCACCCTAACCTAGCTAACAGAGTGAGACCCTGTCTCAAAATAAAAGGTATAATAAATAAGGAAAAAGAAGAAAAGAATGTTAATGAGCAATAAGGAATCACCTGAAGGTACAAAACTTACTGGTAATAATAAGTACACAGAAAACCACGGAATATTATAACACCGTAATTCCAAAGTGTAAACTACTCATATTTTGAGTAGAATGACTAAAAGATAAACCAATGAAAATAACTACAACAACTTTTCAAGACATAAAAAGTGCAATAAGATATAAATAGAAAAAAACAAAAAGCTAAAAAGTGAGGGGATAAAGTTAAGTGTAGCATTTTTATTAGTTTTCTCTTTGCTTGTTAGTTTGTTTATGCAATCAGTGTTAGGTTGTCATCAGTTTAAAAGAATGGGCTAGCCGGTGCGGTGGCTCACGCCTGTAATCCCAGCACTTTGGGAGGCTGAGGTGGACGGATCATGAAGTCAGGAGTTCAAGACCAGCCTGGCCAACATGGTGAAACCCCATCTCTACTAAAAATACAAAAACTAGACGAGCATGGTGGTGCGTGCCTGTAATCCTAGCTACTTGGGAGGCTGAGGCAGGAGAATTGCTTGAACCCAGGAGGCAGAGGTTGCAGTGAGCCAAGACCGTGCCACTGCACTCCAGCCTGGTGACAGAGCAAGACTCCATCTCAAAAAAAAAAAAAAAAAAAAAAAAAGAATGGGCTGTAAGATATTATTTGAAGCCAGGCATGGTGACTCATGTATGTAATTCCAGCACTTTGGGAGGCTGAGGCAGAAGGATTGCTTGAGCCCAAGAGTTCAAGATCAGCCTAGGCAACAGAGGGAGACCCCACACCTACAAAAAATAAAAGAAATAGCCTGGCGTGGTGGTGCACATCTGTGCTCCCAGCTAATCAGAAGGCTGAGGTAAGAAGGTCACTTCAGCCCAGGAGGTTGGGGTTGCAGGTAGCTGTGATTACACCACTACACTACAGCCTGGATGACAGAGTGAGACCCTGTGTCAAAATGTATATATTATTTGCAAGCCTCATAGTAACCTCAGATCAAAAAAGATAAAACAGATACACAAAAACTAAAAAGAAATTAAAACATACTGCCAGAGAAAATCACTTTCACTAAAAGAAAGGAAGGAAGATAAGAAAAAAAACAACCACCACCATAAAACAAATAACAAAATGGCAGGACTAAGTCCTTACGTATCAATAATAACATTGAATGTAAATGGACCAAATTCTCCAATAAAAAGATATAGAGTCGTCAAATGGATTAAAAAAACAAAACTCAATGATCTATTGACTGCAAGAAACACTTCACCTATAAAGACACACATAAACTGAAAATAAAGAAATGGAAAAAGACACTCCATACCAATAGAAACCTAAAAAGAGAAGATGTAGCTATATATATGTAAGACAAAAAATTTGAAAAGACCATTATATAATGATAAAGGGGTCAATTCAGCAAGAAAATATAACAATTGTAAACATGTATGTACCCAACACTGCAGCACCCAAATATATAAAGCAAATATTATTAGAGCTAAAGAGAGAAATACACTCCAATATGATAACAGCTGGAGACTTCAACACCCCACTCTCAGCATTGGACAGATCTTCCAGACAGAAAATCAACAAAGAAAAATTGAACTTAATCTGCACAATACACCAAATGAAACTAATAGATATTTACAGAACATTTATCCAACAGCTACAGAATACACATTCTTCTCCTCAGCCATGGATCTTTCTCAAGGATAGACCATATGTTAGGCCACAAAGCAAGTCTTTAAAAATTCAAAAAAAAATCACAATTACCTCAAGTATCTTCTCTGACCACAATGGAATAAAACTAGAAATCAACAACAAGAGGAATTTTGGAAACTATACAAACACATGGAAATTAAACAACATGCTCCTGAATGACTAGTGGGTCAATGAAGAAACTAGTAAGAAAATTAAAAATTTTCTTGAAACAAATGATAATGGAAATACAACATAGCAAAACCTATGGGATACAGCAAAAGGAGTACTAACAGGGAAGTTTATATATGCACCTACATAAAAAGGTAGAAAAACAGCCAGGCGTGGTGGCTCACGCCTGTAATCCTAGCACTTTGGGAGGCCAAAGCAGGCAGATCACGAGGTCAGGAGATTGAGATCATCCTGGCTAACACAGTGAAACCCCGTCTCTACTAAAAATACAAAAAATTAGCTGGGCATGGCGGCGGGCACCTGTAGTCCCAGCTACTCAAGAGGCTGAGGTAGGAGAATCACTTGAACCCAGGAGGTGGAGGTTGCAGTGAGCCGAGATCGCACCACTGCACTCCAGCCTGGGCGACAGAGTGAGACTCCGTCTCATAAAAAAAAAAAAAAAAAAAAAAAAAAAAAAGTGGAAAAACTTCAAATAAACAACCAAACTATGCATCTTAAAGAACTAGGAGAGGAAGGGCAAGCCAAACCCAAAACTGGTAGAAGAAGAGAAATTATGAAGATCAGAGCAAAATAAATGAAACTGAAACAAAGAAAACAATAGACAAAATCAATGAAACTGAAAGTTGGTTTTTTGAAAAGTTAAACAAAATTGACAAACCTTTAGCCAGACTAATGAAGAAAAAAAGAGAAAAGAAACAAATAAATAAAATCAGAGATGAGAAAGGAGACACAACAACTGATACTGCAGAAATTCAAAGGATCGTTAGAGTCACTATAAGCAACCATAGGATAATAAATTGGAAAACCTAGAAGAAATAAATTCTTGAATACACACAACCAACTAAGAATGAACCATAATGAAATCCAAAATGTGAACAGACTAATAACAAGTAACAAGATTGAAGCCATAATAAAAAGTCTCCTAGCAAAGAAAAGCTCAGAACCCAATGACTTCACTGCTGAATTCTAGCAAACATTTAAGGAAAAATGCCAATTCTACCAAAACTATTCCAAAAAATAGAGGAAGAGGGAATAATTCCAAACTCATCCTATGAGGCCAGTGTTACCTTGATGCCAAAACCAGACAAAGACACATCAAAAAAAAAAAACTACAAGCCAATATCCTTGATGAATATTGATGAAAAAATCCTTAACAAAATACTAGCAAATCAAATTCAACAATACATTGAAAACATCATTTATCATGACCAAATAGGGTTTATCCCAGTGATGCAAAGATGGTTCAACATATACAAATCCATCAATGTCATACGTCATATCAATAGAATGAAGGACAAAGACATGATTATTAAAACAGATGCTGAAAAAGCATTTGCTAACATTCAACATCCCTTCATGATAAAAACCTCCAAAAAACTGGGTATAGAAAGAATATTCCTCAACATAATAAAAGCCATATACAACAGACCCACAGCTAGTATCATACTGAATGGGGAGAAATTGGAAGCCTTTTCTCTAAGATCTGGAACAAAACAAGGATGCCCACTTTCACCACTGTTATTCAACATAGTACTGGAAGTCCTATTTAGAGCAATCAGATAAGAGAAAAAAATAAAGGGCATCCAAACTGAAAAGAAGGAAGTCAAATTATCTTTGTTGGCAGATGATATGATCCCATATTTGGAAAAACTAAAGACTCCAGCAAAAACCTACTAGAACTGACAAATTCAGTAAAGTTGCAGGATACAAAATCAACATACAAAAAATCAGTAGCATTTCTATATGTCAGTAGCAAACAATCTAAAAAATCAAGAAAGTAATCCCATTTACAATAGCTACAAATAAAATAAAATACCTAGGAATTAACTTAATCAAAGGAGTAAAATATCTTTACAATGAAAGTGATAAAATAGCAATGAAAGAAATTGAAGAGGACACCAAAAATGGAAAGATATTCCATGTTCATAGATAGGAAGAATCATTGTTGTTAAAATGTCACATTACCCAAAGAAATCTACAGATTCAATGCAATCCCCATCAAAATACCAATGGCATTCATCATAAGAATAGAAAAACAAATTCTAAACTTTATATGGAACCTCAAAAGACCCACAATAGGCAAAGCCATCCTGAACAAAAAGAACAAAACTAGAAAAAACACATTACCTGACATCAAATTATAGTACAGAGCTATAATAACCAAAATGGCAAGGTACTGACATAAAAACACATAGACCAATGGAACAGAATAGAGAAACCAGAAACAATTCCATACATCTACAGTGAATTCATTTTTGACAAAGGTCTCAAGAACATACAGTGGGAAAAGAATATCTCTTCAATAAATGATGCTGGGAAAACTGGGTATCCATATTCAGAAGAATGAATCTAGACCCCTATCTCTTACCATATACAAATATCAAATCAAAATGGATTAAAAACTTAAATATAAGACCTCATGGATGGGCGAGGTGGCTCACACCTGTAATCCCTACACTTTGGGAGGTCAAGGCAGGTGGATCACCTGAGGTCGGGAATTTGATACCAGCCTGGCCAACATGATGAAACCCTATCTCTGCTAAAAATACAAAACATTAGCTGGGCGTGGTTGTGGGCACCTGTAATCCCAGCTACTCGTGAGGCTGAGGGAGGAGAATTGCTTGAACTCAGGAGGCAGAGGTTGCAGTGAGCTGATATTGTGCCACTGCACTCCAGCCTGGACAACAAGAGTGAAACTCTGTCAAAACAAAACAAAACTCAAACTATGAATCTACTAAAAGAACACATTGAGGAAGATCTCCAGGATATGGAACTGGACAACAGTTTTTTTGAGTAATACCCCATGAGCACAGGCAACTAAAGCAAAAATGGATAAATGGGATCACATCAAGTTAAAAACTTCTGCACAGCTAAGAAAATAATCAACAAAGTGAGGGGACAAACCACAGAACCATATTAATGGGAGAAAATATTTGTAAACTACCCATCTGACAAGGGATTAATAACCAGAATGTATAAGGAACTGAAAAAAACTCTATAAAAAACTAATAATCCAATTTAAAAATGGCCAAAATATCTGAACAGACATTTCTCAAAAGAAGACGCACGAATGGCAAACAAGTAAATGAAAAGGTACTCATTATCATTAATCAGAGAAATGCAAATCAAAACTATCATGAGATATCATCTCATCCCAGTTAAAACAGTTTTTATGCAAAAGACAGGTAATAACAAATGCTGTCAAGAATGTGGAGGGAGAAAAGGGAACCCCTGTGCACTGTTGGCAGGAATACATATTAGTCCAACCACTATGGAGAATAGTTTGGAGGTTTCTCAAAAAACTAAAAATAGAACTTACATATGTAAGTACCAGGAATCCCACTGCTTGGTATATACCCCCAAAAAAGGAAATCAGTATGACACAGAGATATCTGCACTCCTATGTTTATATTACAGCACTATTCAGAATAACCAAGATTTAGAAACAGCCTAAGTGTCCATCAGCAGATGAATGGATAAAGAAAATATGCTACTTATACACAACAGAATACTATTCAGCCACAAAAAAATTAGATCCTGGCATCTGCAACAATATAAATGGAATTGAAGGTCATTATGTCAAGTGAAATAAGCCAGGCACAGAAAGACAAACTTCTCATGTTCTCACTTGTTTGCATGAGCTAAAAAATCAAAACAAGCGAACTCATGGAGATAGAGCAGAACGGTGGTTAGGGGCCAGGCGCAGTGGCTTATGTCTGTAACTCCCAACACTTTGGGAAGTTGATGTGGGAGAATCTCTTGAGTCTGTCTGACACCAGCCTGGGCAACATAGTGAGACCCCATCTCTATTACATTTTTTAAAATGGTGGTTATAAGCATGGTCGGTGGCTCATGCCTGTAATGCCAGCAATATGGGAAGCTGAGGCAGGCAGATCACTTGAGATCAGGAGTTTGAGACAAGCCTGGCTAACATGGTGAAATCCTGTCTCTACTAAAAATACAAAAATTTAGCCGGGCGGCCGGGCGCGGTGGCTCACGCCTGTAATCCCAGCACTTTGGGAGGCCGAGGCGGGCGGATCACGAGGTCAGGAGATCGAGACCATCCCGGCTAAAACGGTGAAACCCCGTCTCTACTAAAAATACAAAAAATTAGCCGGGCGTAGTGGCGGGCGCCTGTAGTCCCAGCTACTTGGGAGGCTGAGGCAGGAGAATGGCGTGAACCCGGGAGGCAGAGCTTGCAGTGAGCCGAGATCCCGCCACTGCACTCCAGCCTGGGCGACAGAGCGAGACTCCGTCTCAAAAAAAAAAAAAAAAAAAAAAAATTTAGCCGGGCATGGTGGCAGGTGCCTGTAATCCCAACTCCTCGGGATGCTGAGGCAGGGAGAATTGCTTGAACCCAAGAGGCAGAGGTTGCAGTGAACTGAGACTGCGCCACTGCACTCCAGCCTGGGAGATAGAGCAAGATTCTGTCTCAAAAAAAAAAAAAAAAAAAAAAAAAAAAAGGTGGTTACCAGAGACTGGGAAGGTAGTGTGGCAGGGGAGAAGTGGGGTTGGTTAATGGGTACAAAAATATAATTAGATGGAATGAATAAGATCTAGTATTTGATAGCACAACTGGGTGATTACAGGCAACAGAAATTTATTGTACATCTTAAAATAACTAAAAAAATATAATTGGGTTGTCTGTGACACAAAGAAAGGATAAATGTTGACCAGGTGCGGTGGCTCATGCCTATAATCCCAGCACTTTGGGAGGCCGAGGTGGGCGGATCTCTTGAGGTCAGGAGTTCAAGACTAGCCTGGCCAACATGGTGAAACCCCATCTCTACTAAAAATACAAAAATTAGCCAGGCATGGTGGTGGGTGCCTCTAATCCCAGCTACTCGGGAGGCTGAGGCAGGAGAATTGCTTGAACCCAGGAGTCAGAGGTTGCGGCAAGCCAAGATCATGCCATTGCACTCCAGCCTGGGCAATAGAGCAAGACTCCCTCTCAAAAAATAAATAAATAAAGGATAAATGCTTGAGGTGATGGATATCTCATTTATCCTGATGTGATTATTACATATTGTATGCCTATGTCAAAATATCTCATGTAACCCATAAATATATACACCTACAATGTACCCACAAACATTAAAAATTATATTAAAGGGATGAGCTAATTTAACAATTTGTACTAAGAAGAGTGAATAGAGAAGACACCCTACCAAATGGGGCAGTTTCTTACCAATCTCTGAAAATATGCTATTAACAACACACACAAATATCTTTTGTATCTTATAGTGGTTTCAACTACAGGCAGGATGTTTGGAAATGTCCAGTAGCATTTTTAGTCATCGTAATATCTGGGATTGCTATTGGCATGTGTGGTCATGGGTTGGGGAGGGAAAGCATCCTGTAAAATAAGCAACAGTGTCATAGCCTAAAAAGCACTGCTAAATCCAATGTCATAATGATTTTCTCTTATGTTTTCTTGTAAGAGTTTCATAAGTTTAAGTCTTAGATTTAGGTTTTTGATCATTTTTGTATATAGTACTATATAAGGTAAGGGTCCAACTTTATTCTTTCATATGCGGCTATCCAGTTTTCCCAGCCTCATATGTTGAAACATCTATCCTTTCCCGACTGAATTAGTCTTGGCACATTTGTTGAAAATCAATTGCCCGCATATGCAAAGGTTTATTTCTGGTCTCTTTATTCTATTGCATTGGTCTAAACGTCTGTCTCTATGCCCATACGACACTATTTTAATTACAATTAACTTTGTTTTTTTTTTTAATTTAATAGAGATGAGGTCTCACTGTGTTGCCCAAACTGGTTACAAACTCCTGATCCTTCCACTTTGGCCTCCCAAAGAACTGAGATTAGAAGCATGAGCCACCACACCCAGCCAGAACTTTGTAATAAGATTTAAAATCAGGAAGTGTGAGACTTCCAAGTTTATTCTTTTTCAAGATGATTTTGGCTATTCAGAGTCCCTTACAATTCATTTGAATTTTAGAATGGGTTTTTCTATTTCTACAAAAAAATGGCCTTAGGAGCTAGATAGGATTGCGTTGAATCTGTAGACTGTGTTGGGTAGTATTGCCATCCTAACAATTTTAGATCTTCCAGGCTGCGCAGTGGCTCATGCCTGTAATCCCAGCACTTTGGAAGGCCAAGGCAGGCAGATTACTTGAGCTCAGGAGTTCAAGACCAGCCTGGGCAACATGGCAAAACCAGTCTCTACAAAATATACAAAAATTAGCTGGTCTTGGTGGTGCACGCCTGTAATCCCAGCTACTCAGGAGGCTGAGGTAGGAGAATCACCTGAACCTGGGAAGCAGAGGCTGCAACGAGCCAAGATTGCGCCACTGGACTCCAGCCTGGGTGACAGAAGCAAGACCATGTTTAAACAACAACAAAAAAAACACAATATTAGATCTTCCAGTTCATGAACACAGGATGTCTGCATATTCGTTTACATTTTCTTCAGTCTCTTTCCGCAATGTTTTGAAGTTTGCAGTACACAAATCTTGCAGCTCCTTGGTTAAATTTATTTATAAGTATTTTACTCTTTTTGATGATATTATGACTTGAGTTGTTCTCTTAGTTTCCTTTTTGGATTGATTATTCATTGCTAGAGTATAAAATGCAACTAGGCCAGGTGCAATGACTCATGCCCAGGCCAAGAAGGGAGGATCAAGAGCTTGAGACCAGTCTGGGCAAAATAGTAACACACCTTCTCCACAAAAAATTAAAAAATGAGCTGAGCATGGTGGCACATGCTTCTATTCCTAGCCACTCAGGAGGCTGAGGCAGGAGAATCACTTGAGCCAAGGAGTTCAAGGCTGCAGTGAGTTATGATCATGCCACTGTACTCTAGCCTGGGCAACAGAGTGAGACCCTGCATCTAAAAATATAAATAAATAAATAAATAAATAAATAAATAAATAAGAAATAAAATGCAACTGATTTTTCTGTGTTGATTTTGTATGCCTCTATTTTGCTGAATTTATTTAGTGGCTCTAATTTTCGTGTGTGGAATCTTTAAGGTTTTCAACATAGAAGATTACAACATCTGTGAACAGAAATAATTTTACTTTCTCCTTTCCAATTTAAATGCCTTTCTTTTTGTTGCCTAATTTCTCTGGCTACAATTGCTAATACCATGTTGAATGTAAGTGGCAAAATCAGGCACTTGTTAATAATCTTAAGCGAAAAACTTTCAGTTTGATGGCACCATTGATATGAAGTTAGCTGTGGGTTTTTCATACATGGTCTTTATCATGCTGAAGACGTTTCCTTCTATTCCTATTTAGGGTTTTTATCATTAAAAAGAACAGTACATTGTTAATGAACAAATGAATGAAGTTAGTTTAAAGTGGTATGAATGAATGAGGTTAGTTTAAAGGAATATACAAAAAGAAATGTACATGAGTCATAAATGCAAAGAAGGCATGGGGTGATTTGAGGTAAATATGCAAAGTCACCCCTTATATACTGAACACAATTCCTTTAACTACAAGAGTTGTTGTTTGTTGGGTTTCTTTTTTCTTTTTAAAACAGTCTTTGAGGTAGATTTCTATTATTAAAGCCTGTTTTTATAGAGTTCAGAGTTCTTCCTTCCTTCTCTTTGATGCCTAATCTCCTTTATCTTCAGCCAGCAAATAAATCTCTAGTGCTATCAGGAAATACTGATTTTCTCACTTTATATCCCTGTTCTATCTGAACTCATCAGTCCCTAATCTCCGTTTGACCTCAAATCCAAGCCGTGGGCCTTCAGAAATGCTCTATAAAACCTGTTGTACAGGAATTGTAATTAAGTCATTCAACTATCCAGGAGTCTATTTACAAAATTAGGAGGGCATCTGGTTAATTGCAAAGTCCCTTCCAATTCCACCAGTGCACAATTCCCTTGAAGATGAGTTACTCAGCTTGCTGAATTTAAAGGTTGCTAAACACTTGCAGTAGATTTCAAACTGTGTTCTGATAAGCCAAGGTTACTAAGTAGAGGATTTAGGGACTCCAAGACTTTTGTGGAAATATTGTTTCTAAAATATATTTTAACCATTAAGAAAATGAAAAGACGAGCCACAGACTGAGAGAAAATATTTACAAATCAAATATCAGATAACTTATATCCATAGTATAGACTTTTTTCCCACAAGTAAAAATATATACAACATGTACACATTTTTAGTTCCATCTGTAAACTAAATTTAAAATATAAATATTGCACGTGCCCTTTTCTAAACGTTCAGGATAGAGGACCAATTTTTATCCAGATTATATAAAGAACCATTACAACTCAATACCAAAACAAATAACTCAGTTTAAAAAGGGGCAAAAATTGGCCAGGCACTGTGGCTCACGCCTGTAATCCCAGCACTTTGGGAGGCTGAGGCAGGCGAATCACTAGGTCAGGAGATCAAGACCATCCTGGCTAACACAGTGAAACCCCATCTGTACTAAAAATACACACACAAAAAAAAATTAGCCAGGCATTGTGGAGGGTGCCTGTAGTCCCAGCTATTCGGGAGGCTGAGGCAGGAGAATGGCGTGAACCCAGGAGGCTGGAGTGCACTGGCGCGATTTTGGCTCACTGCGTGCAGTGCTCCAAGATCGCGCCAGTGCACTCCAGCCTGGGCGACAGAGTGAGACTCCGTCTCAAAAAAAAAAAACAAAAAGGGCAAAAATTTACAAAGACATTTCACCTAAGATATATGAATGGCCAACAAGTACATGAAAAGATGCTTGGCATCATTAGCCATTAGGTAAATACAAATTCAAACCATAATGAGATACCACTTCATACCCACTAAAATAGCTATAATCAAAAAGACCTACAATAACAGGTGTTGGCGAGATGATGTGGAGAAATTGAAATCTTCATACATTGCTGGTAGGAATTTAAAAATGATAAAATCACTTTGGAAAACAGTTTGGCAGTTTCTTTAAAAGCTAAACGTATGTTTAACATATGAATCAGCAATTCATTTCTCAGAATCTGTCCAAGACAAATGACAGCCTATGTTTACACAAAGGGCTGTAAGCAAATGTTTTACAGTAGCATTATCCATGGCAGCTAAAAATTGGAAACCTGAATATACCCATCAACTGATAAGTGAATAAAGAAAATGTGGTATACTTATACAATAAAAAATCGTTCAGCAATCAAAATTAATGAAGTACTAATTCATGCTACAAGATGGATAAACCTCAAAAACATGCTAAGTATAATAAAAGTACAAAGCAATTATAGGATTCCATTTAATGAAACACGCAGAAAGGCAAATCTTTATAGCTAGAAAGTTGTCTGGGGCTTTGGGAGGCCGAGGTAGGCAGATTACCTGAGCTCTGGCATTCGAGACCAGCCTGGGCAACGTGGCAAAATCCCGTCTCTATTAAAAATACAAAAAATTAGCTAGGCATGGTGGCGCATGCCTGTAGCCCCAGCTACCCAGGAAGCTGAGGAGACTGAGACATGAGAATCACTTGAACTCGGGAGGTGGAGGTTGCGGTGAGCCAAGATCGTGTCACTGCACTCCAGCCTGGGCGACAGAGCAAAACTCTGTGTCAAGAAAAAAAAAAAAAAGAAAGAAATTTGTTTGGGGTTTGGATGGGAAAGAAAAATGACTACAAATGGGCCTGAGGAATCTTTTGGGGGTGATAGAAATGTCCTTAAATGGGGTTCGTAATGACTATACTATTCTATATGTTTATTTAAATTCACTGGATTGTATACTTACAAGAGGTGAAAATTTTGAGACCTAATTTCAATGAAGCTATTTTCCCTTCCCTTTCCTTTTCCCTTTCTTTTCCTTTTTTTGAGATGGAGTCTCGCTCCATCGCCCAGGCCCAGGCTGGAGTGCAGTGGCGCAATCTCGGCTCACTACAAGCTCCACCTTCCAGGTTCAAGTGATTCTCCTGCCTCAGCCTCCCGAGTAGCTGGAATTATAGGCGCCCACCACCAAGCCCAGCTAATTTTTGTATTTTTAGAAGAGACGGAGTTTACCAGGTTGGCTAGGCTGGTCTCAAACTCCTGACCTCAGGTGATCCACCTACCTCTGTCTCCCAATGTGCTGGGATTACAGGCATGAGCCACTATGCCTGGCCTTTTTTTTTTTTAAACGGAGTCTTGCTCTGTTGCCCAGGTTGGAGTGCAGTGGCGCAATCTCGGCTCACTGCAACCTCTGCCTCCTGGGTTCAAGTGATTCTCCTGTCTCAGCCTCCCAAGTAGCTGGGATTACAAGCACCCACCACCTTGCCCAGCTAATTTTTTGTATTTTTAGTAAAGACGGGGTTTTGCCATGTTGGCCAGGCTGGTCTCAAACTCCTGACCTCAGGTGATCCACCCGCCTCAGCCTCCCAAAGTGCTGGGATTACAGGCGTGAGCCACCGTGCCCAGCCAAAGCTATTTTTTTAAAAGCCAATAAGTGACAATGTGCCCTTTCAAAATATATTAAAAATATATAATTATTTATTTAAAACATTTAACAATTTGTATAAAAACATATTTACCATGCCTTCTCACGTACTATATACTGAAGTTTAACATATTGGGAACATATATGTTAACTTGTGCTATTTTTATTGGTATCTCAGAATAAATCTTCCTTTGCCATGTCTGTTTAATCAGAACTATAAAATTATAAGATGAACAAAACAACACAACACAAAAACCTAAAATCATTTCTGACTGCTAGTACATGAGTGAGATTTTTTCTCAATATTGTACGATCAAAACAAATACAGAAATAAATTTCAGAGGCTTACTACAGCTGAAATCAGTGAACCTTTCTCACAAGGTTTTTGTGCTAAAAATACTGTTTTCACTGTATAATTTCCTGATAAGCAAATGTTATAATTTTAGCACCTAAAGTACTTGCATCAATAACTATATTATTATTTTTATATATTATGGTTATGTAATTAATTTTTAAGAGGTTTCTGTTGCTAAAACAAAAAGTATCTGAATTATCCTGGATCATAGGCAATACAATGATATCAAGCTCAACTACATTTTTGCTAGTAGGCTGATTAGAAACAAATTTAGTTGAAAAGAATACCTTAATATCCTGGAAGGCTGCCATGAATGTAGATGGGATTTTACTTCATATAGCAAAGGTTTGAATTTTTTATTTTATTTTATTTTATTTTGAGACAGAGTCTTGCTCTGTTGCCCAGGCTGGAGTGCCATGGCATGATCTTGGCTCACTGCAACCTCCACTTCCTGGATTCAAGCGATTCTCATGCCTCAGCCTCCCGAGTAGCTGGGACTACAGGCATCTGCCACCACACCTGGCTAATTTTTGTATTTTTAATAGAGATGGGGTTTCACCATGTTGGCCAGACTGGCCTTGAACTCCTGACCTCACATGATCTGCCCACCTCGGCCTCCCAACCTAATGGGATTACAGGCGTAAGCCACCATGCTCGGCCAAAGGTTTGAATTTTAAAAAAACATTTTCAAGAAATCAGATGTTCCACTTCCTTTTTCACCTGACATTTCATAGAAACAGAGTGCTCTTTGCCTTTTCCTCTTTCCTGTTGGCTGGAATTGAAGCCCAGGGACTGGAGTTCCTGTAGCTACCCTGGACTGTGAAATGACTTTGAGAATGGAAGTCGCATATGGCAAAGCAACAAGACAGAAGGAGTGTGGGTGCGGCCGGGCACTGTGGCTCACGCCTGTAATCTCAGCACTTTGGGAGGCCGAGGCGGGCGGATCACGAGGTCAGGAGATAAAGACCATCCTGGCTAACACGGTTAAACCCCGTCTCTACTAAAAATACAAAAAATTAGCAGGGCATGGTGGCAGGCGCCTGTAGTCCCAGCTACTCGGGAGGCTGAGGCAGGAGAATGGCGTGAACCTGGGAGGCGGAGCTTGCAGTGAGCCGAGATCTGGCCACTGCACTCCAGCCTGGGCGACAGAGCCAGACTCCGTCTCAAAAAAAAAAAAAAAAAAAAAAAAAAAAAAAAAAAGTGTGGGTGCTTGAAACAATGAAATTGCTATACTGTCTTTGGAGTGACTGCTTCTATATTTCTTGAACATGAAATAAATAAATGTCTATTTTTTTCTTCCACTGTCTTACAGCTAAACTTGATCCTGAGATAGGAGTGGTTCAGACAGAGCTGTAGGCACGAAGGCTGACACAGGAAAGCGCTTGGCATCTTGAAAAGATAGCAAGGTAAATGTAGCTGGAGTACCAGTAATGGGAGGGAAAATGGTAGGAGACAGGGCAGGAGTTAATGGGGAGCCCGATGGTGTAAGGCCTGGTGGCTCACTGGGACTTTGAGCTTTAATTTAGATGTGGGAAGCCATCAGAGAATTTTGAGAAGAAAAATGACCCAACTGGTCTATGTTTTAAAGGAATCTCTTTGTGGAGAATAGACTTATGCCAATGCTTAGAAGTCATCATATGAATAAAATGAGTATTTATTACAATATTCTCTATACTTCTTTTACACATTTAAAATATTTTACCGCCAGGCCTGGGGGCTCACACCTATAATCCCAGTGCCTTAGGAGGCTAAGGTGGGAGGATCGCTTGAGGCCAGGAGTTCAAGGCTGCAGTGAGCTGTGATGGCACCACTGCACTCCAGCATGGGAAACAGAGTGAGACCCTGTCTCTAAAAATAAAATATTCCAGATTATAAAATTTCATGGAAAACTGATCACAGTCACATTTATTAACTGGCCAAAGCTAAAACTGTATCATTTATAACTAATTTTACTGTAACATATCAGAATAAAGAATGTGTTAACTTAGAAGGGTTTGTTCCGGGCTATCCAGAAAACAGATAGGGTCCATATAATATGTGGTCGGCTTGTTAGCAGCAGAAGGTATCCTAGTCACGTGGCACCAAAATATGTTAGTAGCGGCCAATCCACACAGGTCTGCAGCAACCTCAGTTCTTGCCTTTTCAGAAGAAAGAATTCGACAGAGCAGCATAAGGCAGAGTGAGAGAGCAAGACAACTTTTAGAGCAGGAGTAAAAGTTTATCAAAAAGCTTTAGGGCAGTAATGAAAGGAAATAAAGTACACTTGGAAGAGGGTAAGTGGGCAACTTGAGAAATCCCATGCACAGTTTGACCTTTGACTTGTGGTTTTATACACTGGCATACTTCCGGGGTCTTATGTCCCTTCTCCCCTGATTCTTCCCTTGGGCTGGGCTGTCTGCATGCACAGTGGCCTGTCAGCACTTGGGTGGGGCCACATGCACAGTGTGTTTACTGAAGTTGTATGCATGCTCAACTGAGGTGTTTTTCTCTTACTAGTCAAATGTTCTCAGGAGGCCATATACCAGTTAAACTCGGCATTTTGCCTCTTAGTGCATGTGCTTGATTGAGCCCATTCGCCCAGCTCCTGAGATCTTATCAGGAAGTTGCTGATCACTAGTTTCAGGTGTTTCTATCTATTGGGAGACGACCTTTCCCTGGCGCCAGCTGCAACCAATTACTATTTTGCAGAGCCAGTGTAACAACTGCCTGACCATCACCTGATGGTGGCCTGACATTCCTGGGTTGGGGGTCGGGGACACTCCTGCCCCGCACATTTCTGACTAACTACTGTAACAGACTAGAGAGCTCTGCATTGGAGCTTGCCTCTGGGTTTTACTAACTTGGAGGGTGACTTTGACTAAATCAGTCATTTAACCTTCCTAATCTACCAAAATGTAGTCATCTTTACCTGCAAAGATTTTGTGAGGATTAAGTGCTTAGCATTGTTCATTGTTCCTAGCACAGAATAATCATCCCATAAGTGGTGTCTTAATTATCTTTAACCACAATTACCAGAATCTGAGAACACTTAACTACACTTTTAACACTGAATCAGGGCAATATAAAATTTGCAGGCATAAGGAAGTTTTTCTGTTATGAGTGGAGACAGCTTCACACAAGGATTTTCCATTATTTGATGCAAAAGCTGTCAAGTGCATCTCCTGTTTTTTTAAAATCTGGTAAGTTTGCTTGTGGAAGAAACTTGAGTATCTCAGTCATAGGAATGCCCATAAGAAAACCAATTAATTACCATTCTGATTCATACTTCAATTTCTTCTGATTCATAAATTATTATGAATCAGCAACTATGAACCTCATCAGCACTAGCATACCGAAAAGATCATTTCTGGGCCCACGTTTTACCTCCTGGAACTTTATGATGCTCTTACACTGAAGATTACCAAAAAAAAAAAAAAATCCCCTTTAGCATCGGACTGCGCAGGGAAATTTAAACCATTTTTAAATACACCAGAACATTCTGTTCTCCTTAACAAGACCTGCCTTTAAGATAAACTATCTTATCAGAGGCTAACCTATTGAGGTTTTATGGGCACTTAAATGACCTTGGTGAAGGGAAATACCCAACCCCAAACCCCTCCAGCCATCCTGTCCTATTTAAGGTGAAAGTTTGAGGAGACTGAGAGGCACTGTGAAATTCACAGCCTAGGGGCACAGGCTTACTAAAAAAACCAAGACCTAATCATAGGACTGTAGAATATTACCCCCTACCCACCCCACCTCACCACCACATCAGGAAAGGCCTACCTACTAGAGTTCTTTTTACCCAGTACATCATGTCTGGCTTTCAACAACAAAAAAAAAAAAACAAGGCATACTAAAAGGCAAAAAATAGTTTGACCAGAAAAAGCATTAGAACCAGACACAGATATTTTAGGAAGGGTAGAATTATCAGAGTGGGAATTAAAAATAACTATGATTAATATGATAAAAGCTCTAATGGGGCCAGGCATAGTAGCTCCCACCATATTGGGAGAGTGAGGTGGAAGGACTGCTTGAGTGCAGGAGTTCAAGACCAGCCTGGGCAACATGGCAAAACCCTGTCTCTACAAAAAATACATAAATTACCTGGGCATGGTGGCATATACCTGTAGTGCTAGCTACTCAGGAGGCTGAGGTAGGAGGATCCCCTGAGCCTGGAGAAGTCAAGGCTGCAGTGAGCAGTGATCACGCGACTGCACTCCAGCCTGAGCAACAAAGTAAGACCCTGTCTCAAAATTAAATTAAATTAAAAACTAAAAAAAATTTTTAAATGAGCTGGGTGGGCTGGCATGTGGCTGTAGTCCTAGCTACTTGGGAGACTGAGGCAGGTGGATCAGTCGGGACCTGGGGTTTGAGGCTAGTGAGCTATAATTACATTACCGCACTCCAGCCTGGGTGATACAGTAAGACCCTGTCTCAAAAAATAAATAAGAGGCCAGGAGTTCAAGACCAGCCTGGCCAGCATGGTGAAACCGTCTCTACTAAGAATACAAAAATTAGCCTGGCGTGGTGGCATATGCCTATAATCCCAGCTACTTGGCAGGATGAGGCATGATAATTGCTTGAACATGGGAGGCACAGGTTGCAGTGAGCCGAAATCGCACCACTGCACTCCAGCCTGAGTGACGGAGCAAGACTGTCTCCAAAAAAAAAAAAAAAAAATCGTTTGTTTCCAGCTGGGCATGGTGGCTCATGCCTGCACTTTGGGAGGCCGAGGTGGGTGGATAACCTGAGGTTAGGAGTTCAAGACCAACCTGGCCAACATGGTGAAACCCCGTCTCTACTAAAAATACAAAAAACTAGCTGGGCATGGTGGCGCGTGCCTGTAATCCCAGCTACTCGGGAGGCTGAGACAGGAGAATAGCTTGAACCCAGGAGGCAGAGGTTGCAGTGAGTTGAGATTGTGCCACTGCACTTCAGCCTGGGTGACAGAGCAAGACTCCATCTCCAAAAATAAAAATAAATAAGCTGGGCATGATGGCTCACACCTATAATCCCAGCACTTTGGGGGACCCAGGCAGGAAAATCAGTTGAAGCTAGGAGTTCAAGACCACCCTGCAGAACATAGCGAGATCCAATCACTACAAAAACTACAAAAAATACCCAGACACAGTGGTGCATGTCTGTAGTCCCAAGTGCTCAGAAAGCTGAGGCAGGAGGATCACTTGAGCCCAGGAGTTTGAGGCTGCAGTGAGCTATGATCATGTCACTGCATTCCAGCCTGGGTGACAAAGGAGACTATGCCTCTAAAAAAGAAAAATAAATAAATGAAAGCTCCAATGGATAAAGTAGATGGCATGTAATAAGACAGATGGAAATTCTGAGAAAGAGTCAAAAAAATGCTAGAGATTAAAAACACTATGAAGATTGCCATTCATGAGCTTACGGGTTGACTAAACATAGCTGAAGAAAGATACTCTGAGCTTGAGGATGTCCAGTAGAAACTGAAAAGCAAAGAGAAAAAAGACCCAAAAAAGGGGGAGCAAAATATTCAAGAACTGTGGGGCAATTATAAAAAATACAGAAAGAGAGAAAGGAACAAAAACTATATATGTATATGTATATATATGTGTGTGTGTATATATATATATATTTTATTTTTGAGACAGAATCTCGCTGTGTCACCCAGGCTGGAGTGCAGTGGCGCAATCTCAGCTCACTGCAAGCTCTGCCTCCTGAATTCAAGTGATTCTCCTGCCTCAGCCACCCTAGTAGCTGGGATTACAGGCTCCTGCCACCACACCCAACTAATTTTTGCATTTTTAGTAAAGACGGGGTTTCACCATGTTGGCCAGGCTGGTCTCAAACTCCTGACCTCAGGTGATCCACCCACCTCAGCCTCCCAAAGTGCTGGAATTACAGGCGTGAGCCACTGCGCCTGGCCAAAAACAATATTTGAAGCAATTATGAACTGACAGTTTCTCCCAAATTAATGTTAGATACCAAACTACAGATTCAGGAAACTCGAAGAATACCAGGAAGAATAAATCCTAAGTAAATTACACATAGGTATATCATATTCAAACTACAGAATATCAAAGATAAAGAAAAAATCTTCAATGAAGTCAGAGGGGAAAAATATTCTTAACTATAGAGAAACAAAGATAAGAATTACATCTGACTTATTAGAAACCATGCAAGCAGGAAGAGAATGCAGTATATTTAACATGTTGGTAGAAAAATACCACCAACTTAGAATTCTGTATACTGTGAAATTTCCCTTCAGATTTAAAGAAGAAATAGACTTTCTCAGACAAATAAACGTCAGAGGAATTTGTTGTCAGTACATTTGTCTTGCAGAAATGTTTTTTAAAAGTTATTTTACTTTATTTAGGCCGGGCGCAGTGGCTTACGCCTGTGGTCCCAGCACTTTGGGAGGCTGAGGCGGGCGGATCACAAGGTCAGGAAATCGAGACTATCCTGGCGAACACAGTGAAACCCCGTCTCTACTAAAAATACAAAAAAGATTAGCCGGGCGTGGTCGTGGGTGCCTGTGGTCCCAACTACTCCGGGAGGCTGAGGCGGGAGAATGGCGTGAACCCGGCAGGCAGAGCTTGCAGTGAGCAAGATCGCGCCACTGCACTCCAGCCTGGGCGACAGAGCGAGACTCCGTCTCAAAAAAAAAGTTATTTTACTTTATTTTATTTTTTAAATAGAAGGCCCGGCATGGTGGCTCATGCCTGTAATCCCAGCAATTTGGGAGGCTGAAGTGGGCAGATCACTTGAGCTCAGGAATTCAAAACCAGCCTGGGCAACATGGCAAAACCCCATCTCTACTAAAAATACAAAAAATCAGCCAGGTGTGGTGACGCACACACTGGTAGTCCCAGCTACTTGGGGGGCTGAGATGGGAGGATCACTTGAGCCTGGGAGGTCAAGTCTGCAGTGAGCCCTGATCATGCCTGTGCACTCCAACCTGGGCAACAGACTGAGACTCTGTCTCAAAAAACAAACAAACAAAAAAATTGGAGACAGGGTCTCACTATGTTGGCCAGCCTGGTTTGGAAATCTTGGCCTCAAGTGATCCTCCCACCTCAGCCTCCCAAAGTGCTGGGATTACAGGCATTGGCCACCATGTGTAGCCAAAAGATGTTCTTCAAAGAGAAGAAAATTGTTAAAGATCAGAAAATCAATAAAGGTCAGAAAATGAAATCTACATAAAGAAAGGAGAACATTAATGTGCAGTGGTGGGATCTTGGCTCACTGCAAGGTCTGCCTTCTGGGTTCATGCCATTCCTATGCCTCAGCCTCCAAAGTAGCTTGGACTACAGGTGCCTGTCACCACGCCTGGCTAATTTTTTGTGTTTTTAGTAGAGACAGGGTTTTACCATGTTAGCCAGGGTGGTCTCAATCTCCTGACCTGGTGATCCACCTGCCTCAGCCTCCCAAAGTGCTAGGATTACAGGTGTGAGCCACCGTGCCCAGCCTATTTTTCTTATTCTTAATTGATCTAACAGATAACTGGTTAAAATAATAATAGCAACAATATACTCAATTGTATATGTAGAAATTTTGAACTAAATAAAAATGAAAATATAATTAACAAAATTTGTGGGATGCAGCAATTGCAATAAAAGGGAAATTTATGTCATTGGAAACATATATTAGAAAAAAAAGACAAATCCAAAATCAATAATGTGTACTACCACCTTGGAAAACTAGAAATAGAAGAGTAAATTAAAGACAAATTAAGCAGAAGAAAAGAAATAATAAAAATCAGAAAAAACATGAAACTGAAAATCAATAGAGAAAATTAACAAAAAAACAAAAGCCGGTTATTTGAAAAGATCAATAAAATTTATAAGTCTCCAGTTGCACTAACTGCAAAAAAAAAAAAAAAAAGAGAGAGGACATAATCACTAATATCAGAAATAAAAAAAGTAGACATTACCTGGTTGGCCCTGTCAGTAAAAGTTTTTTTAAAAAAAGAGTGGACATCACTTAAAGACCCCACAGACATTGAAAGGATAGTAACAAAACTATTCTCACGAATTTGATAACCTAGATGAAATGGACCAATTCCTTGAAAGATGCAATCTGCCAAAATTCACACACACAAATTAGACAATCTGTAAAGACCCAGGATTATTTTAAAAATTGAATCAATAATTAATAAACTTCCAAAACAGAAAGTCCCTAGCCCCAGATAGATTCACTGGCAAATTATATCAAACATTGAAAGAAGCAGCTGTACAGTTCTTTGTAATCTCTTTTAGGAGACAGAAATAGAGGGAATACTTCCTAACTCCCTAGCTACTCAAGGACCAGGGAGGACTATTGTGGGCTTCACCTGGGAGCTGGTTAGAAATGCAATATCTGTGCTTGCTTTGAGAGCACATATACTAAAATTGGAACAATTCAGAGAAGATTAGCACGGCGCCCTACACAAAGATAATACACAAATTTGTGAAGTGTTCCCTATTTAATAAAAACATATTTTTTAAAAATGCAGAATCTTGTGCCTCAGCATAAGCCTACACTCAAAACCTGCAAGTTCATCAAGATCCACAAGTCATTCATATGTACATTAAGTGTTAAGAAGCACTGGTCCTCAACCTATCTGCATACTGGAGTCTCCTGGAAGAAATTCTGATTTAATTGGTATGAGTGTGGCAGGGCTTTGGGATTTTTTAAAGCTCCCCAAGCAATTTAAAATTCAGCAATATCTAAAGAGAGGTCTTAGAAGCCAAGATCACAAAATGAATATCGGTGAAGTATCATTTTGCTTACCTCAAAGGGCCTTATCAATGGCACTATTCCATGGGCTGCCATCCAACCTGCTACTAATGGATAAAGTCCCATAATGCCCCATGTCAACTTTCGGCCAAGAAATTTGAGAGTCTAGGCGTTATGTGATGACTCACATCTGTAATCCCATCACCTTGGGAGGTCGAGGCAGGGGGACTGCTTGAGGCCAGGAGCTCAAGACCAACCAGTGCAACATAGGAGGACCCCATCTCTACAATTATTTATATATATATATATATATATATGTATATTTTAATTAGCTGGGCATGGTAGTGTTGTAGGACTTTCTCCTTAAGGTCCTTGTCACACAACCAGGAAAGATTAGGCTTGCAGACACTTTGAAAGGTGAGAAAAATGGAATTTATTGCGTGAAAAGGAGAAAGGGGAAACAGAGACTCTAAGCAAAGTGAGAGTTCTGCTAGCTGGTCTCTCACCTCACAGATTGAATCACAGGTTACCACCCGGGAACAGGAGCGTCCAGGCTCCTCCCCACTGCAAAGGGCTCAAACTTCCCATGGCTCCACCCCGTTCTCCCAGTGTACAGGCTGGTCAGAGGTTCTCCGGGGACCCCTTTATACTTGGCTGTCTCAGTAGTACACACCTGTAATCCTAGCTACTCAGGAGGCTAAAGCAGGAGGATCACTGGAGCCCAGGAGTTGGAGGTTACGGTGAGCCTTGATCACACCACTGCACTCCAGCCAGGTCAACAGAGAGGGACCCTGTCTCTAAAAATAGTAAATAAATAAGAAAATAAATTCGAGAGATTATATTTTTAGAAATATTTGTTTCAGTAGTTTAGTAGCACAGAACTTTCTGTACTTTACCTTTTCTCTTTCCCTTCCACCCAAATTCTTTACACTAATAGGGTAGGTTTCCATTTAAATAGATGTAAATTAATTAATTAAAAATGTTTTATTAGCCTGCTATTATGCCACAAATTATACTTTAATTTAATGAAACTAGTGTTCAGCACAATGCCAGTTTAATGGGGTTCCAACTTAAAACCAATAAAGCATTGAGGGTAATTCAAAACATTGTATTGCAAATTACTAAGAACTGGAGAGGTGAGAAGAGAGTGGGGGATGGAATTGAGGATGAGGCGAAAAGATGAAAGAACTGAGGGAAAGACCAGAGAAAGGAATACTCTCCTGTTCTTTTTGCTTTTGTAAACTGTTAATGACAAGTGGATTCTAGTAGCTGAATTCAATGATCCAGGGCCCCAGCAAACTGACAGTCATGGCTGGTTTCCATAGTTAACAACATGTAGAACTATTTCTTCAAAGAGGTTTAATTAGAATGTTCGAATATTGGAGCTTAAATATAACTGGAGAGCTTTGCCTAAGAAACTTAAACTCAGGCCAGGCGCGGTGGCTCATGCCTTTAATCCCCGCAGTTTGGGTCACCTGAGGCCACGAGTTCGAGACTAGCCTGGCCAACATGGGGAAACCCTGTCCCTACTAAAAATACAAAAATTAGCTGGGCGTGGTGGTGGGCGCCTGTAATCCCAGCTACTTGGGAGGCTGAGGCAGGAGAATCGCTTGAACCCAGGAGGCAGAGGTTGCAGTGAGCTGAGATCGTGCCATTGCACTCCAGCCTGGGTGACAACAGCGAAACTCAGTTTCAAAAAAAAAAAAAAAAAGAAAGAAACTTAAACTCATGTTTAAGACTTTCCTTAAACATGAGAAGGCAAAAGGCAACTACATTTTTCTGATATTATCGGAATAAAATTATTCCAGTGGCACAATATTTTTTTTTTACAGATTACCCTGAAATACTTACTCTCTACTTTTGTACCAGAAAATCTTAAAGCCACAGCTGGACCAAAGGTATGCCAGCTCCAAACTTTAAAAGAAAAGGTAACTCTTTAAATATAATTATTCCTTTTTGATCACTTTGCAAATTTTCTCTTTCCTCTTCCATTTCTCTAGTTTTCTTTTCTTCAAGTAGGAAATGATTTTGTTTGCTTTGCAAAGACCTAACACACCTCAGCTGTAAAGAATTCAAGCCGGCCGGGCTTGGTGGCTCATGCCTGTAATCCCAGCTCTTTGGGAGGCTGAGGCGGGCAGATCACGGGGTCAAAAGATCGAGAATATCCCGGCCAACATGGTGAAACCCCGTCTCTAGTAAAAATACAAAAAATTAGCCGGGCGTGGTGACAGGCGCCTGTAGTCCCAGCTACTCGGGAGGCTGAGGCAGGAGAGTCGCTTGAACCTGGGAGGTACAGGTTGCAGTGAGCCGAGATCGTGCCACTGCACTCCAGCCTGGTGACAGAGCAAGACTCCATCTCAAACAAACAAACAAACAAACAAACAAAAGAATTCAAGCCAGGCAGTTGTCTGCTGCAGAGCATATAATATTGATGATATATGTTTAGGGTCCCATTTGGACATGGAGAATAACTTTGCTATAGATATTCAATATAACCAAGAGCATAGGCATAAAATACTCACTCACAGTTGCCAATAATTCCAAGTGTATGCACAAGTTTTGCACATCTTCAGTATATTTTAGATCCTAGATCAGTTAGCCTTACTTGGTAATGCAAGAAAGCTTCATTTTATTTTATTTGTTCTTTTGCCTTAAAATAAAGGGAAATAGTTGGCAGTGTTTTAAAGGAATAAGAAGACTGGTTGCTTTTGGCAGAAGGGAATTTGTCATTCTCTCCATCAGAGAAGGATTAATTGTATTGTTTTGGAGGCAGTGGGGATTAGGATGGGAATATTTGAATTTCATTATTAGAGTAGGTGTATAAAATATACTTGTATAAAAATATACTTGAAACTAAAGTCCTATGCTGTCAAAAGATTTGCCATTTAAGTGCAAAATATGTTTGCAAATCCCACAAAACAGGAAGACCAGACTGTCTTGAACAACTTGCTCAGTGTCTTGAGAGTACTGCCAATTCTTACTCTTGGCTTTGTTTTCTGAAAGCTGCTTCCTCTTTGGCTAGGAGCTGTTCACCTTTTCCTGAAGTACGTCTACCAACAGGGGCACACTAGGAAATGTCTAATGAATTCCTGTAGTTTTATTTCCTTCAAATTCCACTGGCAGAGAACTTCACAGTGTGGTGAAATCACTAAAGATGTTAGTACTTGGGCTTTTCCCTACAAAATCATTGAAAAGTCTTCCAAACACTCCAGCAGATTGCTCTTCCAAGTCTCAGGACAGTCTTAATCTTAATCTTAAAATGCATAGCATTAAACCTCTAAGATATGTGTTCCAATTATGTTTTGAATTATGTTTTGAAAGTTGTTTTCTCTGAAAAAGTAGGGATCTAAACTTTTCTTTTCACACTACCTTTCTATATACACACAGACTCCAACTAACTTGGCATTAAAAATAAAAACTATAATATAAATGACCCATAGATGTACACTTTATTCTGAAAACTTACCATTCTGTTCCACTTTCATAAAGTTACTCTTATCCTTTGCATGTGGTCACCAGTCCCATCAGTTCTTCCTTTACAATGTTTGAGGAATCTGTCTCTCTCCATAACCTCTAACCTTACTTTATCTTAGCCCTTTATCATTTTATCTTTTATTTATTTATTTATTTATTTATTTTTGAGACGGAGTCTTGCTCTGTCGCCCAGGCTGGAGTGCAGTGGCGCGATCTCAGCTCACTGCAACCTCTGCCTCCCGGGCTCAAGCAATTCTCCTGCATCAACCCCCAGAGTAGCTGGGACCACAGGTGCACGCCACCACACCCGACTAATTTTTGTATTTTTAGTAGAGATGGGGTTTCCCCATGTTGGCCAGGATGGTCTCGATCTCTTGACCTCATGATCCGCCTGCCTCGGCCTCCCAAAGTGCTGGAATTACAGGCGTGAGCCACCACGCCCAGCCACCATTTATCATTTTATATCTGGGCTGTCTTCCAAGCTAGTCTCTGCCGACAATACTTCGTTCTCTAATCCAATCTAAACTGTCCTGTACCCTGTCTCCAGTATAATCTTTATTCTAGAACTATCAAACTCTTTCTTCATATTGTTGCCTGTTGAAAATCTGCTAGTTCTTCTCCCAACTGAAAGAATCAAGTCCTGGCCAGGCGCGGTGTCCTGTAATCCCAGCATTTTGGGAGGCCAAGGTGGGAGCTTTGCTTGAAGCCAGGAGTTCAACACCAGCCTGGGCAATACAGAAAGACCCTGTCTTAAAAAAATAAATGAATCAAGTCCAAACTCCTGACCCTTAGAAGCACGGCCACCACATCCTGATACTACACAGCCTTTTTCCACTCTTTTTCTTCTTTTTTTAAAAATTTTTTTGTAGTTGTTTCATTGAAAAAAATAAAATAAAAATGATAGTTGGATGCCATGAAGTAGGTGGCAATGCCTTAACTGTGTGCTTGTTGTCAGGCCCGAGGGCCTCTTCCATCCTTGTCAAGAGAAGTGTTAACCTTCTGTCCTTTCATACAACACTCCCCACTCTTCTTTTCTAAGACAGCTAGGCATCTCATAATCATGCCTCTTATTTTCTCACTTCCATCCTTCGTTCACACACTTGCTACTCATGCCGTTCCCCGTTGTCATATTTTTAAATCCAATGTATTAATTTTAATACCTAGATCCAGGCCCACCTTCTCCATGAAGTGTTTCTTCACTACCACTCTAGCCCACAGTGGTCTCGTCTTCCTTTGAGCTCTTAACATTTATTCTTGAAACAACAAACCCAATAGTCCCATAGATTGGTGCATTTACAAAACTTTAGCTAGACACAGAGCGCTGATTGGTGCATTTACAATCCTTTAGCTAACAGAAAAGTTCCCCAAGTCCCCACCCGACCCAGAAGCCCAGCCAGCTTCATCTCTCACCACCACAGCCCAGGTAATTTGCGTATTTTCAGTAGAGACGGGGTTTCACCATGTTGGCCAGGCTGCTTTCCAACTCCTGACCTCAGGTGATCCACCCGCCTTGGCCTCCCGAAGTGCTAGGATTACAAGCGTGAACCAATGTGCCCAGTCTCAAAGCAGTGCATTTTTATGCATAACAAGTATTTACTGCTTTACTTGAGACCCCTGCCACACTCTTCATAATCCAATGGAGAAATCTCTAGAACATTAAAGAATATTAAAAGACTAGAAAGACGAGCTTTTATTAACTTTTTCTGGGCTTTTAACACTACAGAGTTACCAGCTATTACATGAGTTCAATTGGACTTCCTACTTACTGATTTTTTTTAAATAACATTTTAACATTATCATCAGAGGCAGACTCTGTAAAGTGGTATAATATGGTTTCCTGTGACGTGGCATAAACAGGTCTACATCCTAGTCTCCTTTTTAACTGAAATCTTAGTGATATGAAACTGTGGACAACTGGAAAAGAAGTCTTTCTGTTCGAGGACAAGAAATCTGCTATTGGGTGCTGAGATATATTAAATTTGAGCTTTTTTGATCTCCTCGAGGGATATTTTTCTTTTTCTTCTCTTCAGACAGAGTCTTGCTGTGTCACCCAGAGCTGGAGTGCAGTGGCATAATCTCAGCTCACTGCAGCCTCGAACTCCTGCATTCAAGCAGTCCTCCTGCCTCAGCCTCTCTAGTAGGTGAGACTATAGGCATGCCCCAGTATACCTGGCTAATTTTTTTATTTTTAGTAGAGACGAGGTCCCACTATGTTATGCAGGCTAGTCTCGAACTCCTGAGCTCAAACAGTCCTCCCACCTGAGCCTCCCAAAGTGCTGGAATTACAGGCATAGCCACCGCACCCAACCTCATTTTGTTTTTTTCAATATCCCTGTCAGGGCACAATGAAGGATATTTTTGTTGGCTGAAAAGTCTATTCAAATGTTCATGTGAATTTTAGAAATCAATATAAGATAACTAAAGTTGTAAATTTAAGACTCTGCTTTTTCTTAGGGCTGTAAATTCAGTTTACAAATACTGTTGCTCTATCAGTAGGTGTAGCAAATTTCAGTATTCACTTCCAAGGAATCTCTCAATAATGGTTTGGTCCAATTTACAATCTTAGTTCATTAAACATTTCCAAATACTTTAAACTGTACTTGGAAGTTTAAAACATCCAGTTCTTTAGAGTGTCATTGGGATTGCCCTAGACCACCTCCATGTTCAGAGATTCACCGAAACAATTTACATAATTCAGTATATATAATCATTCTACTCATAGCTAAGATTTATTACTATTACAACAATGTTGCAAGGATACATAGCTGGATGATAAGGGTAAGCTATAGGGAGAGTCGGAGAAATCCATGGGCAAGCTTCCTCAAGCTCTCGCCTTCCCATGAAGGGCCACACAGAGCACACACTTCCCCTAGCAATGAAAATGCAACATTTGTGCAATACTTTGGCCCAGGGAACTCTACTAGAGACTTAGGGCCCAAGGTTTTTAGGAGGGCTGGTCGGGTAGATACACTCTGAAACCAAAATTACAGAGTCTCAGAAGGAAAGAAAGCAAGTGTGTGACCCACCCTTATCAGTTAACTGATAACTGGGGACACTGTGAAGCAACTTCCAGATGCTCCCTAAGAATCAAGCTCAAAAGCAGGGCTTTCTAGGGATAGCAGCCTCAAACAGATCTGCTCTGTTAACTTTTTTCTGCATACCAAGGTACTTCCATTTTTTAATTTAAAAAACTGAACTTTCCCAAGTGCTCAATCAACCCAGACAAAGCAAATAAATTGAATCCATAAATATGGCCAACCTAACTTATTTCAAGTGTCCCACTATTTTCTCCAAACTTGTGGTATTGCAACTTTAAATCAAAAGCCTAAATTACTTATTTAATTATAACATTTGAAATTGGACTGACAAAATTGGTCTTAACCAATTAACCTGGGAGGCGGAGGTTACAGTGAGGCGAGATCACACCACTGCACTCCAGCCTGGGTGACAGAGCGAGACTGTCTCAAAAAAAACAAAACAAAACAGTTCATACCTTGGCCAGGTGCAGTGGTTTAAGCCTATAATCTCAGCACCTTGGGAGGCCGAGGCAGTCGGATCACCTGAGGTCAGTTCAATACCAGCCTGGCCAACATGGCGAAACCCTGTCTCTACTAAAAATACAAAAATTAGCTAAGTGTGGTCGCACACACCTACAATTCTAGCTACTCAGGAGACTGAGGCACAAGAATCACTTGAACCAGGGAGGCAGAGCTTGCAGTGAGCAGAGATGGCACCACTGCACTCCAGCCTGGGCGACAGAGCGAGACTCCATCTCAAAAAAAAAAAAAAAAACAAAAAAGCAAACAAGAAACACCAAAAAAAACAAAATAAATAAAAACAAAATTCAGACCGGATGCGGTGGCTCACACTTATAATCCCAGCACTTTCAGAGGCTGAGGCAGATGGATCACCTGAGGTCAGGAGTTTGAGACCAGCCTGGCCAACATGGTGAAATCCCATCTCTACTAAAATACAAAAATTATCCAGGCGTGGTGGTGAGCGCCTGTAATCCCAGCTACTCAGGAGGCAGAAGAATCGCTTGAACCTGGGAGCCGGAGGTTGCAGTGAGCTGATGTCATGCCACTGCACTCCAGCCTGGCTGGGTGAGAGCAAGACTCTGTCTCAAAAAAAAACAAAAAACAAAACAAAAACAAAAAACAAAGTTCATACCTCTTTCTATAAGTAAAAAATAAAAATTTTAAGTGAAAGAAAATTTTTCAGTTTGATTAGCAGGGGTTGTGTTGGTGTTGGCAATGTTATATAAAATAATAAGTAATGATAAGTTTTAGATTCAAGCTACGTGGTAGTAGCAATATACTGTGCTTTTCCTTTGCCAAAGATAACCTAAAGATAAAACTAATAAACAGAATCTTCTCTGCTATTCACCATTTTCCCCAGTTGTCAGTTATTTTTGACTGAATACGTTTTTTGCTTTTGTACCCTAGTGGTAGATCACTCTTTGAATGCATCTTAAAGATGTGTCCTATAAAACAAAACAAAACAAAACACCCTAAGCATCCTGTATAAGACTATTACCTTGTGGGTATTCCTACAGGTGTAGAATGCTCATGCACATATAAGTTGGTAATAAAATGTTTTGATTGAATTAGATATAATTAGGTTAAAGATGTCAGTAATGTAAGTAATCCTACACACACACACACACACACACACACACACACACACATATACATATATACGTTTAAGACAGTGCCTCTCTATGTTGCCTAAGCTGGACTGGAACTCCTGAGCTCAAGCAACCTTCCCACCTCAGCCTCCAGTGGCTGGGACTGGAGGCAGGCACCATTGTGCCTGGCTAGTAATGCAATATTTTTGTGTTCGTTGAAGGAGAGTAAAATAAATTGTAAAATCTATTTGTAGTTTATTTTGAAATGCTCTCCCCAGCAGCCTTACCTTTGCCTTATTTTCTTGAGGTCCTATTTACATTCATCCCATTCAGTGAGGATGAAGGATGTTGTTCTAAAACAAAAAGAATGGTAGAAATAAGCCCCATATAGTTAAAAGTGTGCTGGTAGCTATAAATACATACTTTTTCTTTTCTTTTTTTTTTTCTAAGAGATGGGATCTTGCTCTGTTGCCCAGGCTGGAGTGCAGTGGTACAATCATAGCTCACTGCAGCCTCAAACTCCTAGGTTCAAGCAATTCTCCCACCTCAGCCCCTGAGTACCTGGGAATATAGGCACTTGCCACCATTAACTGGCTAATATTTTATAGAGACAGTCTTGCTTTGTTGCCCACACTGGTCTCGAACTCCTAGCTTCTTCCCAAAATGCTGGAATGACAGGCATAAGCCACCACACCTGACCCATACATACATTTTTTTCAAGGAATAACAGAAGCCAGAGTTGATTTTATTTGCATTTGTTAAGAAGAGGCGCAGATGCCATGTTCTGCCCCTGTATTCCCAGCTACTCAGGAGAATGAGGTGAGAGGATTTCTTGGGGCCAGGAACTCGAGGCTGTAGTGCCCTGTGACTGCACCAGGGATTAACCACTGCACTCTAGCTTGGGCAACACAGAGAGGCTTGGTCCCTAAAAAAATTAAAAAATAAAAAAAATATATATATATATGTAAAAGAAGAAGAGAGAGTAGTTTGGCTAATTAAGGAGAGGATGTGCTAAACAGGGGACTTAACAAAAGCCACTTTCATTGTGTATTTTAAAAATTATTTTATTTTAGATTCAGGGTTGCACGTGCTTGTTTGTTACATAAGCAGATTGCATACTGGTGGGGACTGAGCTTCTAGTGTACCCAATGTCCAAATAGTGAACATTGTACCTGATAGGTAATTGTTCAACCCCTGCCCCACCCCCCCCCACTTTTGGAGACCCCAGTGTCTGTTATTTCCATCATCATGTTTTCGTTTTAATTTTCTTTTTGAGATGGAGTCTCACTCTGTTGTCCAGGCTGGAGTGCAATGGCGCGATCTCCGCTCACTGCAACCTCCGCCTCCCAGGTTCAAGTGATTCTTCTGCCTCAGACACCTGAGTAGCTGGGACTACCGGAGTACACCACCACACCTGGGTAATTTTTTTGTATTTTAAGTAGAGACGGGGTTTCACTGTGTTAGCCAGGATGGGCTCGATCTCCTGACCACGTGATCCGCTTACCTTTGCCTTCTGAAGTGCTGGGATTACAGGCGTGAGCCACTGTGCCCGGCCGAGAACTCTTTACTTTCAAATGACCAAGATATTTTGGGGAATACAGCAATTCTCTTAACTTGAAGATACAGTCAAACCGGTACTGCACTAAAGGGAAAAACGGGATAAGCAATAAATAGAACTAGAGATGTGGGCCAGAGGGGAAAGTCTTTCTCAAGCCTCTCTTCCAGATAAAATCAAGTTTGGCCATTTTTGTCTTACCTGATTGCAGTCAAAAGCATTTCGAGTGATTTATGGGAATTAGAGCTTTTGGTGCACAGCTAGTTCATTCTTAAATTGCCCATGCTTACATAGTGTAGGAGAAGGTGTGAGTCTATGTCCCAATTTACACATACCGCCCCCAAATAATTATTAGTAGTGGCCTCTTCCTCTCTCAAAAGTATGATTGCCCTAGCTTTAGGTGAAAACCAAAAGTAATCATTTGCTGGACTCTGGCGCCCTCTTGTGATTAAAATTTCACTTTCTGATATTGCTTATTCTGAGATGAGCGACTACCAAAAAATATGAACATCCCAAAGTGGATCATCTAATAACTTTCCCCAGAAGATCTCAGCTTTGAATTTCATGTCATTACACTTTAACACTGACTACCCCTGCATGGTTGCTGCCATCTTCAGATTTCAGAAGCATCTCCCGCCTGTATCAGTAATTGTAGCCCCTGGTACTGTCACTCTCTGTGACACTACTTCTGTCTTAATTCTTGGTGAATTCAGTATCTCCGAAAACGATCTCCCCAGCACTCTGGCCTCTGACTACCTTGAACTTCTCTCCTTCAGTGATCTTGTTCTCCACCCTGCGTTACCTATGTACTTGCAGGTCATGCCATAGAACTTGTAAGCATAGTCTATCTTTCCACCTAAACCCCTCTAATAACCCAACTCCGGCAAACCTTTGACCTTGCTCCACCAGGGCCTAAAACCCATTAATTACACCAGTATTTCACTGTGCCTCACCCCTCACTGCTTTCTTTAGTCACCATACCTGCCGAAATTCCATGATCATTATAATTACATCCTTGCAAATGCCCTCAGCTCCTCTGCTCCCCTTTTGCTTTGTCACTCGCTTGGCAAAACCACAAACCCTACTTAAATTCCTGTCTCCCCTGCTCTGTGCCTGTACCCCTGCAGTTGAACGTGGGTGGAGAAAAACACATAAGAATAATAAATTATTTGATTTTGTGTTTGAATTTTTATTTTTTTTGAGACAGGGTTTTGCCCTGTTACCCAGGCTGGAGAGTGCAGTGGCGAGATCTTAGCCCACTTCAGCCTTTGAACTCTGGGGCCCAAATGATCTTCCCACCTCAGCCTCCTGAGTAGCTGGGACTACCAATGAATGCCACCGCACCCAGCTAATTTTTAAAAATTCTTTGTAGGGACGGGGTCTCACTGTATTGCCCAGGCTGGTCTCAAACTCCTGCGCTCAAGCAATCTTCCCACTTTAGCCTTTCAAACTGTTGGGATTACTGGCTTGAGCCACAAAGACCTGTAATTATCTGATTTTAAATTCTTGATCAAGAATCTCAATGCCGGGACCCTCAGTAATGCCTGACAACTCATACTGTACTTCCCTAGCCCATTCACTCTTCTGTTTCCTATTTCAACACCGAAACATTTTCATCTTTCCCCTCCCATAGTCATTCTCAGATGATAACCTTATGTCCTACTTGACTGAGAAAACTGAAGTAAGTAAAAGAGAACTTCAGATTCTGTTCACCGTATCTGCCCACCCACCTGCATCTGCTGCCTTCTCTCCTATTACCCTACCCTAGAGGAACTGCCCATGTTACTAAGGCCTAAGGCAATGTCTCTACTTTGCATGAAGTCTCATCCCCTTTTTCCTAACTCAATAACAGCACTTTTCCCCTTTCTCTTCTATATCATTGTATATATATGTATATATATGTGTGTGAATATATATATATATTCCTCTCCACTGATTTGTTTCCCCACAGTATAAACATGCTATATTTCTTTTTGTTTGTTTTTGAGACAGAGTCTTGCTCTGTCTCCAGGCTAGAGTGCAGTGGTGCGATCTTGGCTCACTTCAACCTCCGCCTCCCGGATTCAAGCGATTCCCCTGCCTCAGCCTCCGGAGTAGCTGGGACTATAGGCACCTGCCACCGTGCCCAGCTAATTTTTTGTATTTTAGTAGAGATGGGGTTTCACCATGTTGGCAAGGATGGTCTTGATCTCCTGACCTTGTGATCTGTGCCCACTTCAGCCTCCCAAAGTGCTGGGATTACAGCCATGAGCCACCACGCCCGGCCTTTTTTTTTTTTTTTTTTTTTTTGAGACAGAGTCTCATTCTGTCGCCCAGGTTAGAGTGCAGTGGTGCAATCATAGCTTACTGAAGCCTTGAACTCCTGGGCTCAAGTGGTCCTCCTACCTCAGCCTCCTAAGTAAGTGGGACTACAGGCGCATACAACCATGCCTGGCTAATTTCTGTATTTTTTGTAGAGACAAGGTCTTGCTATGTTGCCCAGGCTGGTCTCAAACTCGGGCTCCAGCAGTGTACCCGCCTCAGCTTCCCAAAGTGCTGGGATTACCACCACTAGCCCACTGTTATCTATTTCCCCCATCCTCAAAAATATTCCTCTTGATTCCACATCTTCCAACTACTGCTCTATCGTTTTGTTCTCTTTTACAACAAAACTCTTCAAAAGATACTCACTTCTCCAATCCCTCCCCCATTCTCTCTCAAATCCACTCCAATCAGAACGATGAGACACATGACAAATTGTTTTAAGCCTTTAAGTTTTAGAGTGGTTTGTTAGGTAGGGATAGATAACTGGAACAATATGCCAGAGAGAGCAGTGCAGGTCTTCTCTAGGAGAAGACAGAATCTATATACTAAGAGAGTTGAGCCAGGTGTGGTGGGTCCTGCCTGTAATCCTGGCACTTCCGTAGGCTGAGGCAGGAGGATCACTTGAGCCCAGGAGTTCAAGACCAGCTTGGGCAACAAAGATCCCATCTCTACAAAAAAAAGTTTTTTTGTAACGATTCTCCCATCTCAGCCTCCCAAGTAGCTGGACCAGAGGTACATGCCACCGCACTCAAATCTGTTTTTGTTTGTTTGCTTGTTTGTTTTTGTAGAGATTAGGTCTTGCTATGTTGCCTAGACTGAACTCAACTCCTGGGCTCAAGTGATTCTCCTGCCTTGGCCTCCCAAAGTGTTGGGATTATAGGCGAGAGCCACAATGTCTGGCCTACAAAAATTTAAAAAATTATTAGCCATGCAACATGGTGCACACCTGTAGTCCCAGCTATATGGGAGGCTGAGGCAGGAGGATCACTTGAGCCCAGGACGTTGAGGTTTCAGTGAGCCATAATTATGTCACTGCACTCCAGCCTGGGTGACAGAATGAGACAGTCTTAAAAAAATTTTGGAAAAAAAAGAGAGTTGCATGACTTTGCCAGAATCAGAAGAAGACTGGGGAAGAGCTGAGAGTGTAAATTATAAGGGTGTTAGACCAATGGGGATAAAGTATAATATTCAAGCCAAATTAATTGACCTGAGTGTACTCCCCCAGGATTTAGAATATAGCATGTTGGCTGGAGTACTGGGGATGGTCCTAACAGTCTGAAAAAGTTAGCCAATGAAATCCTGGACTCAATGATAGTTTGGAGTTAATGAGGTTGAAATGCCAGAAATTTCCTAACATATTATAGACAAAGAGTTACAAAATTCAAGGAAATAGGACTCGGTCCATTATGTTCAATCTTCTCAGCCATTTACTAACTTGACTCTTTTGGGAGGATTCAAAAAACTCTCCTTTCACTAAGACATAAGGAAATGCACTAGTGAGTCAGGGACTAGCATCCTCAAGGAGCACTGTAGGTCACAGCTGTTGCTGGACAAGGCTGCAGTGAAAATGTGTGCTTTCATTTCAGTGGGAATAATGGGGTCCTGGCATGTCAAAGGCCAAGTAGTAACTTCACTGTTAGGGACAACATGGTGCAACTACCACAGTAAACCACAGAGATGGAATAGTAATCGAACTGCTTTGATCTGCTGTGCCCCCTGGCAAGGGCTAATGGATGATGGGGTCCTGAAAAATCATTAATTCGCTGCTTCCTAAGATGCTGCTTGACATCTAGGCAGAAAAAAATCTAGGTCCGTTAGGCAGAAACCTAACTCGAGTTGCCAAATTGTGCGTTGTACCTAATTCCCAGACCTATGTCAGTTAGGAGACTGAAAGCTCTTCCATCCACTGATGAATATCATGAATCTTCCTTCAAACCAGTGTTTCTCTCAACCTTGGCCCCACTGACATTTTGGGCAGGGTATTTCTTTGTTATGGGGGCTAGCTTGCACATTATGGATCTCAAAATGATGCTGACACTGACAAGAAGGGGACGACTACACTTAGGCGAGACTGTTAAACCCACTTAGGTGTGACTGTTAAAGACTGTGCTGAAGGGAAATCCTCCCAGTGGACAGAACCTTGAGCGATATATCTGGCTGTTTACTTCATGCTTAAGGCACAAAGATCTCTAGTGACTTATGAGCCGTGGCTACTGGATTGGCTGGCTGGCTGGAGACTTGAAAACAACTAATTGAAAAATTGGTGATTAGATGGACTATGCATGGACCTTTTGGAATGGACACAGAGGGTGGGAATATTTTTGTGCCGCGTGTACATCCAGTAGATTGTATCACGATGGTGGAGGTTCTCAAAAATCAAATGATCAAGATGATCTATTTTGTGAATGTCAGTAAGCCTCTTTCTCCAGGTATCCCAGTGCTTGTTCAGTGGCTCCGTGTGCAAACTGTGCCAGCATGGAAGGAAGCTACGTGTGAGCTAATAACATGGTTTTCCCTCACCAAGGCTGCTGTAACTATACCTACTGCTGAATGTCCCGTTGACCAACAGCCAAAGTCAACACTAAGCCGCTGATAAGGCACTATTGTCCGGGGTGACCAGATGGCCACCTAGTAGTAGCTGATTGTGTGAACTTTTCCCAACATGAAAGGAACAGCCTTTTATCTTCTCAGGAATAGCTACATATTCTGGATAAAATTTTGCACTGTGTCCAAGCGCAGTGGTTCACACCTGTAATTCCAGCACTTTGGGAGGCCGAGGAGGGCAGATCACCTGAGGTCAGGAGTTCAAGACCAGCCTGACCAAAATGGCGAAACCCCCCTCTCTACTAAAAATACAAAAATTAGCTGGGCGTGGTGGTGGGCACCTGTAATCCCAGCTACTCGGGAGGCTGAGGCAGGAGAATCACTTGAACCCGGGAGGTGGAGGTTGCAGTGAGCCAAGATCATGCCACTGCACTCTAGCCTGGGTGACAGAGCAAGACTCCGTCTCAAAAAAAAAAAAAATTTTTTTTTTACATTTTATTCCCTGCCTGCAGAGCTTCTACTAATACCACTGTTATGAAGTTACAGAATGCCTTATCTGTTGCCTTAGTATTCCATATAATATCGTCCATGATCATGGGCATATATTATGGTAAAAGAAGTCTCATATTCTCAAAATTCAGTATATACCTAGATCTTACAGAGCAGCTGGCTTGATAGAACAGTGAATTGGCCTGCCTAAGGCTTAATTATAGTGTGAGCAGGGATACCCTGCAAGGTTGGGATGTTGTCCTACAGGAAGGGGAAGATACCTTAAACCAGCAGTCAATATTTGCACATAACAAGAATGCATGGAGGCCAGGCGCGGTGGCTCATGTCTATAATCTCAGCACTTTGTGAGGCCGAGGTGAGCAGATCACTTGAGGTCAGGTGTTCAAGACCAGCCTGGCCAATATGGCGAAACCCTGTCTCTACTAAAAATTACAAAAATTAGCCAGGTGTGGTGGTGTGTGCCTATAGTCCCAGCTACTCAGGAGGCTCAGGAGGGAGAATTGCTTGAACCCAGTAGGTGGAGGTTGCAGTGAGCCAAGATCACGCCACAGCACTCCAGCCTGGGCAACAGAATGAGACCCTGCCTCAAAAAAAAAAAAGAATGCATGGATGCATGGGACTAAACATGGTGGCTCATGCCTGTAATCCCAGCACTCTGGGAAGGTGAGGCAGCGGGGTCTCTTGAAGCCAGGAGTTCAAGGCTACCCTGGGCAACATAGACCCAGACTCTAAAAATAAAATATTAGCAGTGCACAGTAGCATGTTCCTGTAGTCCCAACTACTTAGGAGACTGAAGTGGAAGGACTGCTTGAGCCCCGGTGTTTGAGGCTGCAGTGAGCTATGATCATGCCACTGCACTCCAGACTGGTTGACAGAGTAAGACGATGTTTCTAAAAATTAAAAAAAAAAAAAAAAAAAGGAACACACGAGTGTGAGAACCCAGGTAGAATGTTTCTGCTATCCTCACTGGTCTCCCAGGTGTTTCTCTAGCACGCTAGACATGTTCCTGCCTCCGTTCCCTCTACCTGAAATACTTTCCTCCCAGATGATATCTTCATTCCCTCTCAGTCTTTCTTCAAATATTTGCTCAAATGTCAACCTCTTAACAAGGCCTACCCCAACCACTCTGTTTAAAATTGCAAAACCTTTCTTTGCCTTCCTGATTACTTCTTACTATGCATCTGTCTGTAACCCTTCTCACCGTCTAACATACATTATTTATTTGTTTATTGTTTATTATTTGTCCTCCTCCGTCTAGAAAGTGAGCTTCATAACAGCAGGTATTTCTATTTCATTCACTGTTCTATCCCTAGTGACTAACGCAGTGCTGGAAACATAGTAGGAACTCAGTAAACATTTCTCTTGTTTTTTAATTAATTTTTTATTTCCCTAAGATTTGGGGAACAGGTGGTATTTGGTTACATGAGTAAGTACTTTGGTGGTGATTTGTGAAGTTTTGGTGTACCCATCACCGAAGCAGTACACACTGAACCCAATTTGCAATCTTTTATCCCTCACCCCCTTCCCACCCTTTCCCCTGAGTCCCCAAAGTCCACTGTTAAGCCTTTGCATACTGATAGCTTAGCCCCTACTTATGAGTGAGAACGTACGCACATGCAATGTTCAGTTTTCCATTCCTGAGTTACTTAGAATAATAGTCTCCAATCCCAATAAACATTTCTTGATTGACTTGAATGACTATCATGAAAGTTCTCAGAGAAGAGTAGACAATATCTCTAGTCTATTATCTTTACCTACATCATTGGTTGGTTGGTAAACTTTTTCTGTAAAAGGCCAGATAGTGAATATTTTAGGCTTGTGGGCCATGCAGTCTTTTTCCAATCACTCTATATTGGCATTGTAGCACCAAAGCAGCCATTGACGGTAGGTAAATGAACAGGCGATACATAGAAAGGAAATACGGGAACTGCTGAGGTCCTGGGAATTGGGAACCTAAGCAGGGAGTTGATGTGAAAAGGGAAATATTTTACACAGAGGTGCTTGTACACTTTTCTTCATGACTTCTCACTCCACTATCACGGCTAATACTGCTTTGAAGTTAAATGTTCAGTTTGATTTTTACTTTTGAGTATTGTACATTTAAAATTCCCACAAAGTACATTTACTAACACAACCTCCAGGTGGAGCCCTTTCTTTTTTCTCAGTACACTGTTCCGCAAGTATTCACTGAATAGCTACCATGTGACAAAAACGAAGTGTTAGGATACAGCTTTGAATAAAGCAAAGATCTTATGCTCGAAAAGCTTATATTCCAATGGAGAAGACAGATGATAGCACGTATAAAAAAGGTAATTTCAGACAGTGATATGTTCTACAAGGAAATTACATAGAGCAATAGGAGAGGCTTCCCTGAGGACATGCTATTTCAGCAGAAAAGTGAAGAATAAGTAGGAGGCAGACATGCAAATACCTGAGGGTAGAGTTGTTTTATTTTCTTCTACTGTGGTAAAATATTCATAATATAAAAATGTACCATTCAAATTTTTTTTTTTTTTTTTTTTTTTGAGACCGAGTCTTGCTCTGTCACCCAGGCTGGAGTGCAATGGCGCGATCTCCGCTCACTGCAAGCTCCGCCTCCCAGGTTCACGCCATTCTCCTGTCTCAGCCTCCCCAGCAGCTGGGACTACAGGCGCACAGTGCCACGCCTGGCTATTTTTTTTTTTTTTTGTATTTTTAGTAGAGATGGGGTTTCACCATGTTAGCCAGGATGGTCTCGATCTCCTGACCTCGTGATCCACCCGCCTCGGCCTCCCAAAGTGCTGGGATTACAGGCTCAAATAGTTTTTAAGTGTACTGTTTTATGGCATTAAGTATATTCATTGCTGTGCAACCATCACTACCATCCATCTCTAGAACTTCTTTCATCTTCCAAACTGAAACTTCTTGCCCATTAAACAACTCTTCACTCCACCCTGTCCTCAGTGGCAACCATTCTACTTTCTGTCTCTATGAATTTGACTACCCTCACTACCTAATATAAGTGGAATCATGTAGTATTTGTCCTTATTTCTCTTAGCATAATGTCTTCAAGGTTCATTCATGCTGCAGTCAGAATTTTCATCCCTTTTGAGGCTGCATAATCCTCCATTCTCTGTGTATACCACATTTTGTTTATTCATTCAACAGTTGATGAACATTAGGGTTGCTTCCACTTTTGGCTGTTGTAAATAATGCTGCTGTGTATAAACATCTGTCTGAGCCTCTGCTTTCAGTTCTTTTGGGTATATATCTAGAAGTGGAATTGTGGGATTGTATGGTAATTCTATGGTTAGTTTTTTGAGGAAGCACCATACTGTTCTCCACAGTAGCTACACCATTTTACATTCCACCAACAGTGCACAAGAGTTCCAATCTCTCCACATTCTTGCCAACAATTGTTATTTTCAATTTGTGTGTGTATTTCTTTCTTTTTCTAAAATATCTAAAATGTGTTTATTGGGGTGGCTTCCCATTTATCTTGATTCAAAGTGCTTTTACTGCTGCTTCCTCCTGAAGGAGCATCCTTCTGTCAGCCTTGCTTTGCCTCCTGTAGACTGACAGAGAACGGTAGACCAGTGATATGGTTTGGCTATGTCCCTACCCAAATCTCATCTTGAATTGTAGTTTCCATAATCCCCATGTGTCATGGGAAGGACCTGGTGGGAGGTAATTGAATCATGCGGGTGGTTACCCTCATGCTGTTCTTGTGATGGTAAGTTCTCATGAGATCTGATGGTTTTATAAGGCACTTTCCCACCCCTCTTTGCTCAGCACTTCTCCTTCCTGATACCATGTGAAGAAGGACATGTTTGCTTCCCCTTCTGCCATGATTGTAAGCTTCCTGAGGCTTCTCCAGCCCTGTAGAACTGTGAGTCCATTAAACCTCTTCCGTTTATAAATTACCCAGTCTCTGGCTGGGTACAGTGGCTCAAGCCTGTAATCCAAGCACTTTGGGAGGCCAAGGTGGGCGGATCACTTGAGGTCAGGAGTTCAAGATCAGATTGGCCAACATGGTGAAACTCCATCTCTACTAATAATACAAAAATTAGACAGGTGTGTTAGTGTGGACCTGTAATCCCAGCTACTAGGGAGGCTGAGGTACAAGAATCGCTTGAACCTGGGAGGCAGAGGTTGTAGTGAGCTGAGATCATGCCACTGCACTCCGGCCTAGGCAAGAATGAAACTGTGTCTCAAAATAAATACATAAATAAAATAAAAATAAACTACTCAGTCTCGGGTATTTTTTCATAGCAGCATGAGAACGGACTAATACAGTAAATTGGTACCGCAGAGAGTGGGTTGCTGCTATAAGGATACCCAAAAATGTAGAAACGACTTTGGAACTGGGTAACAGGCAGAGACTGGAACAGTTTGGAGGGCTCAGAAGAAGACAGGAAAATGTGGGAAAGTTTGGAATTTCCTAGAGATTTGGACGGCTTAGAAGACAGGAGGATGTGGGAAAGTTTGGAACTTCCTGGAGACTTTTTAAATGGTTTTGACCAAAATGCTGATGGTGATATGGACAATAAAGTGCAGGCTGAGGTGGTCTCAGATGGAGATGAGGAACTTCTTGGGAACTGGAGTAAAGGTCACTCTTGCTATGCAACAAGACTGGTGGCATTTTGTCCCTGCCCTAGAGATCTGTGGAACTTTGAACTTGAGAGGGATGATTTAGGGTATCTGGTGGAAGAAATTTTTAAGCAGCAAAGCATTCAAGAGGAAGCAGAGCATAAAAGTTTGGAAAACTTGCAGCCTGATGATGCAATAGAAAAGAAAACCCTTATTCTGGGGAGAAATTCAAGCACACTGAAGAAATTTGCATAAGTAACAAGGAGCTGAATGTTAATCACCAAGACAATGGAGAAAATGTCTCTAGGACATGTCGGAGACCTTCACAGCAGCCCAACCCATCACAGTCCCTGAAGACTAGGAGGGAAAAGTGGTTTCCTGGGCTAGGTCCAGGGCCCTCTTGCTATGTGCAACCTTGGGACTTGGTGCCCTGCATCCCAGCCACTCCATCTGTGGCTAAAGGGGCCAACGTATAGCTCAGGCCATTGCCTCAGTGGGTGTAAGCCCCAAAGCCTTGGCAGCTTCCATATGGTGTTGGGCCTGCAGGTGTGCAGAAGTCAAGAATTGAGTCTGGGAACCTCCGCCTACATTTTGGAGGAAATGTATGGAAGTATGGAAATGCCTGGATGTCCAGACAGAAGTCTGCTTCTGGGACAGAGCCTTCATGGAGAACCTCTGCTAGGGCAGTGATATGGTTTGGCTGTGTCCCCACCCAAATCTCATCTTGAATTCCCACATGTTGTGGGAGGGACCTGGTGGGAGGTCACTGAATCGTGGGCCGCTGTTCTCGTGATAGTGAATGAGTCTCATGAGATTTGAGGGTTTAAAAAAAATAGAAGTTTCCCTGCACAAGCTCTCTCTTTGCCTGCCACCATCCACATAAGATGTGACTTGCTACTCCTGGCCTTCTGCCATGATTGAGGCTCCCCCACCCATGTGGAACTGTGAGTTTGCCATTGAACCTCTTGCCTTTGTAAATTGCCCAGTTTCGGGTATGTCTTTATCAGCAGTGTGAAAATGGACTAATACAGGCAGCATGGAAGGGAAATGTGGGGTTGGAGCCCCCACACAGAGTCCCCAGTGGGGCACCGCCTAGTGGAGCTATGAGAAGTAGGCCACCATCCTCCAGACCCCAGAATGGTAGATCCACCAACAGCTTGCCCCATGCACCCGGAAAAGCTGCAGACACTCAACACCAGCCACGAAAGCAGCTGGAAGAGGGGGCTATACCTTGAAAGGCCACAGAGGAAGAGCTGCCCAAGGCCATGGGAACCTACCTCTTCCATCAGGGTGACTTGGATATGAGACATGAAGTCAAAGGAGATCATTTTGGAATGTTAAGGTTTAATGACTGCCCAGTTGGATTTCAGACTTGCATGGGCCTATAGCCCCTTCATTGTGGCCAATTTGTCCCATTTGGAATGGGTGTATTTGCCCAATGCCATTACCCCCATTGTATATAGGAAGCAGCTAATTTGCTTTTGATTTTACAGGCTCATAGGTGGAAGGGACTTGCCTTTTCTCAGATAAGACTTAGGACTTGGACTTTTGGGTTAATGCTGGAATGAGTTAAGACTTTGGGGGACTGTTGGAAGGGCATGATTGTGTTTTAAAATGTGAGGACATGAGATTTGGGAGGGTCAGGTGAGGAATCATATGGTTTGGCTGTATCCCCACCTAAATCTTATCTTGAATTATAGTTCCCATAATCCCCACATGTCACAGGAGGGACCCAGTGGGAGGTAATTGAATCATGAGGGCAGTTACCTTCATGCTGTTCTCGTGACAGTGAGTTCTCATGAGATCTGATGGTTTTATAAGGGCCTTTCCACCCCCTCACTCTGCACTTCTTGCTGCTGCCATGTGAAGAAGGATGTGTTTGCTTCCCCTTCTGCCATGATTGTAAGTTTACTGAGGGCTCCCCAGCCCTGTGGAACTGTGAGTCAATTAAACCTCTTTCTTTTATAAATTACCCAGTCTCAGGTATTTCTTCATAGCAGTGTGAGAATGGACTAATACAAGCAGCGAACACACACCACTACTGTGTGTGCATGATTAATGATCATGATGATTACAGCATCCTGGGCATTTCACATCCCTGAAGTAGGAACTGGAGCTCTGTACCAGGCACTTCTTGTATTTCCTCTTTTCCTCATCTGGAGAGGGATGAAGGAGATTTTTTTGTAGGAGGTATGTTCACATGGGGAGGTCAGAACTACCAGAAAGGCATTTTTTTTTTTTTTCAAATAATGGCCATCCTTATTGGGGTAAAGTGGTATCTCATTATGGGTTGACCTGTATTTCCCTAGTGACTAGTGATGGTGAGCATCTTTTCATGTGCTTATTAGCCATTTATATATTTTCTTTGAAGAAATGTCTATTCAAATTATTTGCCTACTTTTTAATCATTTTTTTGTTGTTAAGCTGTAGGAGTTCTTTATATATTCTGGATATGAAGCCATTATCAAATATGTAATTTTCTCCCATTCTGTGGGTTGTCTTTTAACTCTCTTGAAAGTGTCTAGACTGGGCACAGTGGCTCACGCCTGTAATCCTAGCACTTTGGGAAGCCAAGGCAGGTGGATCACTTGAGCTCAGCCTGGGCAACAGAGCAAAACCCCTTCTCTACTAAAAAATACAAAAAATTATCTGGGTGTGGTGGTGGGTGCCTGTAGTCCCAGCTCCTAGGGAGGCTAAAGTGGGAGGATCACCTGAGCTGGGGAAGTTGAGGCTGAAATGAGCCGAGATGGTGTCACTGCACCCCAGCCTGGGCAATGGGAGTAAGACCCTGTCTCAAAAACAAAAAACAAAAAGCAGAAGATAAAAGACAAGTAAAAAGTGTCCTCTTTTTTGTTTGTTTTTTTTTGAAACAGGGTCTCTCTCTGTTGCCCAGGCTGGAATGCAGTGGCGTGATCATGACTCACTGCAACCTCGACTTCCTGGGCTCAAGCAATCCTCCTGCTTCAGCCTCTAGAATAGCTGGGACTATAGGTGCGCACCACCACACTGGGCCAAAAGTGTCCTCCTTTGATGCATAAAAGTTTTAAATTTTTTTTAATTTTGATGAAGTCCAATTTATCTAATTTTTATTTTGTTGCCTGTGCTTTTGGTGTCATACCCAAGAAATCACTGCCACAGCCAACGTCATGAAGCGTTCCCCTACGTTATCTTCTAAGAGTTTTGCAGTTTTAGCTCTTTGTGTCTTTGATAATTTTTGTATAGGGTGTAAGGTAAGGGTCCAATGTTATTCTTTTGCATGTGGCTATCCAGTTTCCCCAGCACCATTTATTGAAAAGACTGTCCTTTTCCCATTGAATGGTCTTGGCACCTTTGTCAAAAACCACTTGGCCGTGTGTGAGGGTTTATTTCAGGGCTTTCTATTCTATTCCATTGATCTGGATGTCTGTCTTTATGTTAGGACCACACTGTTTTGATTACTGTAACTTCATTGAGGGTAGAGTTTTAAATCAGAGGTCACAGCAAGTTCAAAGAGTTACAGCAGGGGTTGGTAAACTTTTTTTTGTAAAGGGCCAGATAGTGAATATTTTGGGCTTCACAGGCTGTATTGTATGGGCTGTGTCATGACTCCTCTACTCTGCCGTTATAGCACTAAAGCAGTTGTCGACAATGCATAAACAAGAGGGTATGGCTGTGTTCCAATAAAACTTATTTATAAAAATAAGCAGGAAGGATTTGTCACAAAGGCAGTAGTTTGCCAACCCCTACACTAGAAGTCACAGTTTGGCATTTTCAAAGGCTTGGAGGAAGGCAATGTGATAAGAACAATGGTGAGAGTGAAGCATGATGAGGTTGGAGAAAGGGGCAAGGGCCAGATCACAGAGCCTTGGAGACCACAGCAGGATTTCATCTATTCTTTACCCATTTATTCACCAAATAGCTATCAAGGACCTACTATGAGCTGGGGCTGGGGCTCCATAGGAGGTAGACTGTATCTTAGTTCTCACAGGGCTTTGATGTAGACAGGAAGCATAAGCTGAGCATTTTAATATGGTATCATATGAGTCATGACAGGCTCCTGATGGGATCTCTGCTCAGTGCTTTTCCCTACTGCCTTAGTGTATTAGTCCATTCCCACACTGCTGATAAAGACATACCCAAGACTGGGTAATTTATCAAGAAAAAGAGGTTTAATGGACTCACAGTTCCACATGGCTGGGGAATCCACATGCCTTTCACAATGATGGTGGAGGGCAAAAGGCACATCTTACATGGTGACAGGGAAGACAGAAAATGAGAGGCAAGTGAAAGGGGTTTCCCCTTATAAAACCATCAGATCTTGTGAGACTTGTTCACTACCAGGAGAACAGTATAGGGGAAACTGCCCCCATGATTCAATTATCTCCCACCGGGTCCCTCCCACAACACATGGGATTATGGGAGCTACAATTCAAAAAGAGATCTGGGTGGGGACACAGCCAAACCATATCACTTAGTTTAAGTCTTATTATTTCTCTCTGGGACTATTGCAACAGTCTATTCAAACAGGTTTCTGCCTCCAGCCTCACTTTCTTCCTACCTGGCATCTATGCTACAGCAAGAGACATTTCTAAAATGCAATTCTGATTGCACTTCCCAGCTTGAAGCTGTGTTGATGGCTTTTCATCACTGTCAGAGTCAAGTCCAAATCTGTCATAATGATGTGGAAAGCCCTACATAACCATGCTAGCTGACAGCCCAGGACAATTAGTCCCTCACATTCACACACACAAGAACATGTTTGACCATGACTAAACCTGGGGCAACACCTACAACCGAAAAGAACATTTGCTATTGGTGTGAATCTTGTTGTTGGTGTTTCTATTGTAAAGTATAATTATTGAGCAAGACTTAGTGATAATCATAGCAAACTCACAGAGATACTCTGTGTCCTGCACTGCTAACTCATTTAATCCTCACAACTACACTATGAGGTAGGTAGTATTATTATTCTCATTTTATAGATTAGGCAACTGAGGCATAAGAAGACTAACTTTCCCAGGATCTCATAGCTTGCACATGTGATAGCATTAATATTCAAACCAAGGAATTCTGGCATGATAATCTATTATTCAGTACCCTGACATGTTCCTTTTAGCAGCAAATATACTAAAATTGGAATGATACAAAGATTAGCTTGGCCCCTGGGCAAGGATGACACGCAAATTCGTGAAGCATTTTATATTTAAAAAGAAAAGCCATGGCTCAAGCCTGTAATCCCAGCACTCTGGGAGACTGAGGTGGGAGAATCATTTGAGCCCAGGAGTTTGAGGCCAGCTTGGGCAACGTACCAAGACCCAGCCTCCACAAAAAATTTAAAAATTCGCTGTGTGTGGTGGTGCGTGCCTGTGGTCCCAGCTACTCGGGAGGTTGATATGGAAGCCTTGAGGTAGAGGCTGTAGTGAGCCTTGTTCATGCCACTGCACTCCCGCCTGGGTGATACAGCAATACCCTGTCTAAAAAAAACTAAAAAATAAAAACAAATATCACTTCTGTAATCTCAGCACTTTGGGAGGATGAGGCAGATGGATCACCTGAGGTCAGCAGTTCGAGACCAGCCTGCCTGACCAACATGGTGAAACCCTGTCTCTACTAAAAATACAAAAATAATCCAGGCCTGGTGGCAGGCACCTGTAATTCCAGTACTAGGGAGGCTAAGACAGGAGAACTGCTTGAACCCAGGAGATGGAGGCTGCAGTGAGCCGAGATCGCGCCATTGTACTCCAGCTGGCCAACAAGAGCGAAACTCTGTCTCAAAATAAATAAATAAAATAAATAAATAATATACATATACAAAAGTACACTAATACCCCCTCGCTAAACCATAAATGTATTCTTTTAAAATATTGACTGGAGCTGTGACTTTTGTTTGAAGGTGTGATCTCTGAGTGGTGGCACTAAAATCACCTGGGAGCTTATTAGAATGCCAATTCCCACGCCTGGGGCCTGACCTAGGGAAGCAGAATCTCTGGAGTTGGAGCCCAAGGATTTGCGTTTTAGCAAGCTCCCTAGGTGACATCTAAGCCTGAGAAAGTTTGAGAAGCATTACTGTCAAATATTTTTTTCCTGGGGCGTAAAGACCTTAATGGAGACAAAGCTTAAGACAAACACATGAGTAATTTTGACCAAAACAAAGTAGAAATAGGATTATTTTTAATGCAAAGATTGCAAATTATGACATAAAGGTTAACAAACCTTTGTACAGACCAAGAGGTCATCAGAAGTCTTGAGAAGATGCCGAGGCCAGAAAAGCACAGGATGCACCTGAACTAAGAGCAAACCAGCGTTGAGTTTGAATCCCAGCACACCCACAGACCAGCTGTGTGCCTTTGGCAAATTGCTTCACTGGGACCTTCATTTCTCCATTCAGAGGTTGAAATTACAATCTCCTTGACCCATATACTCCAGGAAGGTTGTGAAAAATCAAGGGGATAATGTATGGGACAGTGCTTTGTACAGTTGGATAATGTGGTAATCAGGTTTCATTTTCTGCTGTAACACTTCACAAAATGATATATGCACTTTCCCTTCTCCTGTTCAGGAAGCAGATGGGATTTTGAGTCTTGTAGTTCCCTAGGGGAACTCTATTTTCTACAGTATCAGCTGCAGGAGTAGACAGCCGGACTGAGGGATTACTCCAGGCTTGAGAGAGAGGGAAATGGCCTCATCCGAGAAAATGGGTCCAGAGAGTTGGCAGATGATGGTAGAAACCAGAATGTATGTCTCTAAAGTCATCTGCAGCCTTACAATCTACCCCCAAAAAGTCTAATTCAGACCCGGGATAGCTTAGGCTGATACTCAGCCCCACACATGCTTACTGCCTACCTGCCATCCGCTGTTGGGTGGGCTGATTACAACTGTGTTGTATTCTGATCAGTCAGTGCTTATGCTACAAGGGTTATGGTTTTTCATAACCTCTGATTACAGACCATAGTAGAAGGGAATGTTATTTGAAACTTAGTTCAAACAGAAGCGATTCCTGTCTGTCTGGCAGTGGTTCTGAAAGGTGAAGCCAGCTGGACTTCCTGGGTCAAGTGGGGACTTGGAGAACTTTTCTGTCTAGCTAGAGGATTGTAAACGCACCAATCAGCACTCTGTGTCTAGCTAAAGGATTGTAAATGCACCAATCAGCACTCTGTAAAAACACACCAATCAGCACTCTGTGTCTAGCTAAAGGATTGTAAACGCACCAATCAGCGCTCTGTGTCTAGCTAAAGGATTGTAAATGCACCAATCAGCACTCTGTAAAATGCACCAATCAGCACTCTGTCTAGCTAAAGGATTGTAAATGCACCAATCAGCATTCTGTAAAAATGGACCAATCAGCACTCTGTAAAAGGGACCAATCAGCAGGACATGGGCAGGGCCAAATAAGGGAATAAAAGCTGGCCACCCAAGCAAGCAGTGGCAACCGCTTGGGTCCCCTTCCACACTGTGAAAGCTTTGTTCTTTCGCTCTTCATAATAAATCTTGCTGCTGCTCACTCTTTGGGTCCGCACTACCTTTGTGAGCCATAACACTTGCTGCGAAGGTTTGCAGCTTCATTCTTGAAGTCAGCGAGACCAAGAACCCACCGGAAAGAACCAACTCTGGACACAGTTCCATGTGTTCATACCAGGCCTCACCAGGCCTGCACACTCCTCTGACTATCACTTGTATAGCCCTTCCTTGATTTATGACAAATGGCTTCAGCATCTTCACTAGAACAACAAAATTGGCTGGACACAGTGGCTCACACCTGTAATCCCAGCACTTTAGGAGGCCGAGATGGGAGGATCGCATGAGCCCAGGAATTCGAGACCAGCCTGGGCAACATAATGAGATCCCGTTTCTATAAAAAAATAGAACAAAATTTACAACCTACCTACTCTGTCTCTGTCACATTTTTCCAACTAAGAAAGATACAAGCTTCTACTCTAGGAGAACGCCCATGCATGTGTGGGAAAGATTCTATTTCCAGGATAGGGTTCCTTTTATTCATTTTGTGAAGCTGTGTCTCCTGTCAACTCCTGGCCACCATTCTCCTTTTCTCCCCACTTTTTTCCCATTGCTTTCTTCTCCCCTCAACTGGGGACACAATAGGTATATTTCCTCGCCATTCTCTTTTTTCCTCTTGGCTTGTTTCTTTTGGGTTAAATGCAACTTTCAGATAACTGTAAATTGTTTGGGACAAGGAACATACTGCATTTAAAGAACACTACCAGGCCTGTTACAGGAGGATAAAATACATTCTATTCCCTATGCAAACTGATTTTCAACAATGTAATAGATTCATATGCCTTATAATCTTCAATTCTGAATGATAGGAGAAAGAAATCAGCTATTTTTTCTGGCATGCATTATTATTATTATTATTATTATTATTATTAGAGACAGAGTTTCGCTCTTGTCACCCAGGCTGGAGTACAATGGCGCGGTCTTAGCTCACTGCAAATGCTGCCTCCTGGGTTTAAGCGATTCTCCTGCCTCAGCCTTCCAAGTAGCTGGGATTACAGGCGTGTGACACCACGCCCAGCTAATTGTTGTATTTTTAGTAAAGACAGGGTTTCACCATGTTGGCCAGGCTTGTCTCGAACTCCTGACCTCAGATGATCCACTTGCCTCGGTCTCCCAAAATGCTGGGATTACAGGCATGATTACACCGCACCTGTTATATATATATATATATTTTTTTTTTTGGCCACATATATATATATATATATATATTTTTTGAGACGGAGTCTCGCACTGTCGCCGCACCCGGCCATATTTTCAATTTAAGCTGAAATGTTCAAAGTGACCACCAGCCACACCAGATGAGGCATGATATAGGCAGTTAATACAAAAATTACAAAAGGATTTCTGGCTCTGCTCCAAGTGGCCTATATAATCTAAGGAGAAGCCCAACATCCTCTCTCACTTAGGGGTAATCTGGCTTACCACACCTAGGATCTGCTTAACAGAAACCCCAAAGCACAGAGATAGCCATCAAAGTAGGTACAGCCAGGAAAAGGATGTTGTCTGATTGTCTTCTCAGGTGCTCAACATAAATCATGTGTTCAGCCAAATACCCTTATCCTGCCTACAATGCCCAACCCCTTCCAAAAATGCAAAAAACTGACAGAGTTTGAGCCCTTTTTACTCAAAGTGTGGTCCATAGAGGTCAGCTGAGATGTGCAGAATCAGAGGCCCACCCCAGGCCCCCTGAGTTCTGCAGAGCCTGCGTTTCAGCAAGATCTCCAGGTGATACATATGCAAGTTAGTGTATGAGAAGTACCAATTTAAGTGACACATTTGTTAAAGCACATATCAAAAAAGAATCAAGATTTTCTACGAAGTATGAAGATTGGAAAAAACAAAAACAAACAACTCACCTCAGTTATGATGTGTGACGCTGGAAGCAAAGCAGCCCAAATCTCAGTGCAGAGACAGTGGTAATACGAAGAAGATTTCTACACTTAGGAGTTTTCCTAGACAGACTTCAACCAGGACCCACGCCTACTAAACAGACGAGTATCAGTCCAGGAACTTTCCTTCCTGCCTGCTCTTGGGGCAGGAGAAAGAATGAGAGAGGAAACTTGGCAGCCCCCAAAGTAGATCCTGCAGCTACCAGGGAACATTGAGGCTTTCCGAGTAAACTAGCCTCGAGGAAATGTCCCGAGTGAAATTAACAGCTCTCCTATCTCCTTGGGTTCCTTTTTTCTCCACTACTAGCTGATTATGAACCACATTTCTTTCTCGATCACTGGGATTCAAACAAAAGACCTAATGGTTCCAGTCAGCGTGGGATCCTCTTCTGGCATTCCTAGCAAGGGGCTAGAAGAAGGGGGAAAGTTACATGTCAGAGAGATATTTTTGTATCTTTCTCTTTGTGCCGCGGAATTCTGATGACAGCATCTCCAACACAAACAGCAACTTTATTTTCGAAATGGAAGGATAAAAACCAATTCTAGCAAATGGCTTTGCTCTGTGCGTAAACTTCCTGTGCTTTTTTAACCCTGATGTAACTGAGGGTCTCCTCTCACAGGCCCTGCCTTCTAGCACACACAAAAAAACAACCAAGCAGGACTATGACATAATTTGAAAAGGAAGCGAATTAAACCAAAACAAAGAGTTAGGTTTCAATGCAAAGGCCCACCAGAAATCTAAAGAGGACCGAGAAGCTGTATACTTGGAGCATGCTATACTTTTCATGTTATTCTTTCCTAAACCAAAAGTAAAATAGGAAGTCAAGACTGTGCTAAATAGGCATTTCTCTCTCTCTCTCTCTCTCTCTGTGTGTGTGTGTGTGTGTGTGTGTGTGTGTGTATTTTAAATAGAGACGGGGTCTTGTTATATTGGCCAGGGTGGTCTCGAACTCCTGGCCTCCAGCAATCCTCCCACCTCAGCCTCCCAAAGTGTTGGGATCACAGGCATGAACCACCAAACCTGGCTTTTTTTTTTTTTTTTCTTAGGCAAGATCTCACTTTGTCACCCAGGCTGGAGTTAAATAGGCATTTCATATTCTGAAAACATGATAGATGTCAAAAGAAAAAATATGACATTTACTAAGTGCTTCTAATTCCACTGTTTACTGGCCTTGAAAAGCTTCTTAAGCCAAGCCTTCCCCAACAATAAAATAGTGATAACAATAATACCTTCCTTACAGAGTTGTCATGATAAATTTCATGAGATTCACAAAATACCGATTACTGAATTTGTCTTGCTGTTAAGTTCTGTTTATATTTAAGTCACTATCCTGATTATTCACTGTGTTGTGCAGTACCTAGGACAAATTAGGCATTTTGTAAATATTTATTGAAATGAAATGAACGTTTAAAAAATCTTGAAGTTGTTAAGAAATTCCATTTATCTATTTTTATAAATTTATTTTAATATGGTAAAATATGTATAACATAAAATTAGCCATTTGAAACATTTTAAGAGTTCAAGTCAGTAGCATTAATTACATTCACAATGTTGTGTCACCGTCACTGTTTCTAAGACTTTTTTGTCACCCCAAACAGATACTCTGTAATCATTAAGCAATAACTCCGTCAGGGATTTTTTTTTTCTGTTTAATTTTAAATTTTTATTTCTTGTAGGTACATAGTAGGTGTATATATTTATGGGGTACATGAGATATTTTCATACAGGCACACAATGTGTGGTAATCTCATCAGGGTAAATGGGGTATCCACCACCTCAAACATTTATCCTTTGTATTATAAGCAATCCAATTATACTTTTTTCATTTTATTTATTTATTTATTTATTTTTTTTGAGATGGGGTCTCACTCTAATGCCCAGGCTGGAGTGCAGCAGTATGATCTCAGCTCACTGCAACCTCCACCTCCAGGGTTCAAGCAATCCTCCTGCCTCAGCCTCCCAAGTAGCTGGGATTACAGGTGTGTGCCACCACATGTGACTAATGTGTTTTTGTTATTTTTAAGTGGACAATTAAATTATTTTTGACTACAGTCACATTGTCGTGCTAGCAAATACTAGGTCTTAATTATTTTTTCTAATTATTTTTTGTACCCATGAACCATCCCACTTCCCCCCACCTCCCCAATACTTTTCCCAGCCTCTGGTAACCATTCTTCCACTCTCTATCTCTATGAGTTCAATTGTTTTAATTTTTAGCTCCCACAAATAAGTAAGAACATGTTACGTTTGTGTCTCTGTGCTTGGCTTGTTTCACTTAACATAATTACCTTCAGTTCCATCTGTATTGTTGCAAATGATAGGATCTCATTCTTCTTTTTTTTGAGACAGTCTCGCTCTGTCACCCAGGCTGGAGTGCAGTGGTGCAAGCTCAGCTCACTGCAAGCTCCACCTTCCGAGTTCATGCCATTCTCCTGCCTCAGCCTCCCAAGTAGCTGGGACTACAGGCACCCGCCACCATGTGGGTATTTTTAGTAGAGACGGGGTTTCACTGCGTTAGCCAGGATGGTCTCAATCTCCTGAATTCGTGATCTGCCCACATCGGCCCCCAAAGTGCTGGGATTACAGGCATGAGCCACTGCACCTGGCCAGATCCCATTCTTTTTCATGGCTAAATAGCACTCCACTGTGTATATGTACCACATTTTCTTTATCCATTTGTCTGTTGATGGATACTTGGGTTGCTTCCAAATATTGGCTATTGTGAATACAGCTGCAACAAACATAGCAATGCAGATATCTCTTCAATATACGGATTTCTTTTCTTTTAGATTTATACCTAGGAGTGGGATTGCTGGATCATATGGTATCTCTACTTTTAGTTTTTTGAAAAACCTCCAAACTGTTCTCCATAGTGGATGTACTAATTTATGTTCCCACCAACAGTGTATGAGGGCTTTCTTTTCTCTATCCTCACCAGCATTTATTATTGACTGTCTTTTAGATAAAAGCCAGTTTAACTGGGGTGAGATGATATCTCATTGTAGTTTTGATTTGCATTTCTCTGATGATCAGTGATATTGAGAGCCTTTTCATATACCTGTTTGCCATTTGTACATCTTCTTTTGAGAAATGTCTATTCAAATCTTTCACCCATTTTATACTTAGGCTATTAGATATTTTTCCTATAGAGTTGTTTGAGCTCCTTGTATATTCTGGTTATTTATTCCATGTCAAATGGAGAGTTTACAGATATTTTCTCCCATTCTGTGGGTCGTCTCTTCACTTTGTGGATTGTTTCCTTTGCTGTACAGAAGCTTTTAAATTTGATATGGTCCCATCTGTCCATTTTTGCTTTGGTTGCCTGTGCTTCTGGGGTATTATTCAAGAAATCTTTGCCCAGTCCAATGTCCTGGAGAGTTTCCTCAAAGTTTTCTTTAGATAGATTCATAGTTTGAGGTCTTTAATCCATTTTGATTTGATTTTTGTATATGGTAAGAGATAGGGGTCTAGTTTCATTCTTCTGCATACAGATATCCAGTTTTCCCCACACCATTTATTGAAGAGACTGTCCATTACCCTCTGTATCTTCTTGGCACCTTTATCAAAAATGAGTGCACCATAGGTGTATGGATTTGTTTCTGGGTTCTCTATTCTGTTCCACTGGTCTATGTGTCTGTTTTTCTGTTTTTATGCCAGTATCATGATGTTTTGGTTACTATAGCTCTGTAGTATAATTTGAAGTCAGTGTGATTCCTCCAGTTTTGTTCTTTTTGCTTAGGATAGCTTTGGATATTCTGGGTCTTTTGTGGGTCTATATAAATTTTAGGATTCTTTTTTTTTCTATTTCTATGAAGAATGTCTTGGTATTTTGATAGGGATTGCATTGAATCTGTAGATTGCTTTGGGTAGTATGGACATTTTAACCATAATGATTCTTTGAATCCATGAACATGGAATATCTTTCCCTTTTTTGTATCCTTTTCAATTTCTTGCATCAATATTTTATGGTTTTCGCTGTAGAGATCTTTGATTTCTTTGGTTAATTCCTAGGTATTTTATTGTATCTGTAGCTATTGTGAATGGTAATACTTTTTAAATTTCATTTTTAGGTTGTTTGCTGTTGGCATATAGACATGCTAATGATTTTTGTATGTTGATTTTGTATCCTGCAACATTACTGAATTTGTTTATCAGTTCTAACAGGTTTTTGCTGGAGTTTTTAGTTTTTCCAAATGTAAGATCATATCATCTGCAAACAAGGATAATTTAACTCCTTCCTTTCCAATATGGATGCCCTTTCTTTCTTTCTCTCATCTGATTGTTCCAGCTAGGACTTCCAGTACTTCATTGAATAACAGTGGTGAAATTGGACATTCTTGTCATGTTTCAGATCTTAGAGGAAAAGCTTTCAGTATTTTTCCCATTCAGTGCGATGCTAGCTCTGGGTCTGTCATATATGGCTTATATTATGTTGAGATATGTTTCTTCTATACCCATTTTTTTGGGGGAGTTTATCATGAAGGAATGTTAAATTTTATCAAATGCTCTTTCAGCATCAATTGAAATGATCTTATGTTTTTTGCCCTTCATTCTGTTGATATGACTTATCACATTAATTGATTTGCATATGTTGAACCATTCTTGCATCCTTGGGATAAATCTCAATTGGTCATGATGAATGATATTTTAATTTGTTTTTGTATTCAATTTGTTAGTATTTTGATGAGGATTTTTGCATCAATATTCATCACTGATAATAGCCTGTCCCTTTTTTAAAAAATATGTCCTTGTCTTTGTGGGGTTTTTTGGTTTTTGGTGTTGTTTTGTTTTGTTTTGAAACGGGGTCTGACTCTGATGCCCAGGCTGGAGTGTGGTTGCATGATCACAGCTCCTTGCAGCCTTGACTTCCCAGGCTCAAGTGATACTCCCACCTCAGCCTCCTGAGTAGCTGGGACTATAGGCATGAACCATCATGCTTGGCTTATTTTTGTATTTTTTGTAAAGTTGGGGTTTCACCATGTTTCCCAGGCTGGTATCATTGTGTTTTTGATATGTTTTGACATGTTTTGGTATCAAGGTAATGCTGGCCTTGTAGAATGAGTTTGGAAATGTTCCCTTTTCCTTTCCTTTTTGGAATAGTTTGAATAGGATAGTATTTGTTTTTCTAGCAAGTATTTGGTAGAATTTAGCAATATAGCCATTGAATCCCAGGGTTTTTCTTGCTGGGAGATTTTTCATTACAGCTTTAATCTCATTACTTGCTATTGGTCTGTTCAGGTTTTAGATTTCTTCATGGTTCATTCTTGGTAGGTTATATGTGTCTAGGAATTTTTTCATTTCTTCTAGCTTTTCCAATTTATTGGCATATAGCTGTTCATAGTAACCATTAATGATCCTTTGAATTTCTGCAGGATTGGCTGAAATGTCTCCTTTTTCATCTCTGATTTTATTTATTTGGGTCTTCTCTCCTATTTTTTTTTCATTTGTGTGGCTAAAGGTTTGTCAATTTTGTTTATATTTTCAAAAAATCGGCATTTTATTTTGATCTTTTGTATTGTTTTCTTCATTTCATTTATTTCTGCTCTGATCTTTATTATTTCTTTTCTTCTACTACTTTTGGGTTTGGTTTGTTCTTGCTTTTCTAGTTCTTTAAGATGAATCCTTAGGTTGTTTATTTGAAGTTTTTCTTCTTTTTTGATGTAGGCACTTACAGCTGTAAACCTTCCTTTTAGTACTGCTTTAGCTGTATCCCATAGGTTTTGGTATGTTGTGTTTCCATTATCATTTGTTTCAAGGAAGTTTTAAATTTTCTTTTAATTTCTTCATTGACTCAGGAGCATATTTTTAAATTTTCTTGTGTTTTGTGTAGTTTCTAAACATTCCTCTTGTTATTGATTTCTAGTTTTATTGCATTGTGGTCAGAGAAGATGGTCCATATTATTTCATTTTTTTGAATGTTTTAAGACTTGTTTTGAGGCCTAACATAATCTATCCTTGAGAAAGATCCATGTGGTGAGGAGAAGAATATGTATTCTGCAGCCACTGGATGAAATGTTATGTAAATATCTATTAGGTTCATTTGGTCTATAGTGGAGATTAAGTCTGATCTTTCTTTGTTGATTTTCTGTCTGGAAGATCTGTTCAATGATGAAAGTGGGGGGTTGAAGTCTCCAGCTCTTATTGTATTGGATTCTATCTCTTTAGTTCTAATATTTGCTTTATATATCTGGGTGCTCTAATGTTGGTGCAGATATATTTCAATTGTTATATACTCTTGCTGAATTGACCCCTATATCATTATATAATGACTTCTTTGTCTCTTCTTAGAGTTTTTGTCTTGAAATCTATTTTGTCTACTCTTTTTTGGTTTCCATTGGCATGGAATATCTTTTTCCATCCCTTTCTTTTCATTCTATGTGTGTCTTTTTAAGTGAAGTGTGTTTCTTGTAAAGCAACAGATCATGAGATCTTGTGTTTTCATCCATTCTGCCACTCCATGTGTTTTTATTAGAGGGTTTAGTTCATTTATATTCAGTGTTATTATTGATGAGTAAGGACTAACTCCCACCATTTTGTCATTTGTTTTCTGGTTGCTTTTTCCTCCTTTCATTCCTGCCTGTCTTCCTTTCAACCAAGATAATTTTCTCTGGTGGTATGATTTAATTTGTTGCTTTTTATTTTTTATGTATCTGTTGTATGTTTTTTGATTTGAAGTTACTGTGCAGCTTGCAAATACTATCTTATAACCCACGATTTTAAGCGGATAACAACACTGCTTGTTTAAACAAACAAGCAAAGAGAATAATAAAGACCAATAGTCTACTCCTTAATTTCATCTGCCAACTTTTAAACTTTTTGTTGTTTCTGTTTATATCTCATTTTACCGTCTATGTCTTGAAAGCTTGTTGTAGTTATTTTTTTATTGGTTCATCTTTTTAGTATTTCTACTTAAGATTGGAGTAGTTAAGTCTACACTTACAGTGTTATAATATTCTGTGTTTTTCTGTGGCGTTACTATAATATTACCAGTAAGTTTTGTACCTTCAGATGATTTCTTCTTGCTCATTACTGTTCTTTTCTTTCTGATTGAAGTACTGTCTTTAGCATTTCTTGTAGTACAGGTCTAATGTTAATGAAATCCCTCAGCTTTTGTTTGTCTGGAAAAGTATTTCTTTTTCATACTTGAAGGACATTTTTGCCAGATATACTATTCTAGTGTAAGAGTTTTTTTACATAAGCACTTCAAATATGTTATGCCACTCTCTCCTGGCCTGTACAGTTTCCACTGAAAAGTCTGCTGCCAGACTTATTGGCACTTCATTGTATGTTACTTGTTTCTTTTCTCTTGCTGCTTTTTGAATCTTTCCTTTATTTTTGATCTTTGGGAGTTTGATTATTAAATGCCTTGAGATGTTCTTCTTTGGGTTAAATCTGATTGGTGTTATATAATCTTATATTTGGTTATCAATAACTTTCTGTGGGTTTTGGAAGTTCTGTGTTATTCCTTTGGATAAACTTTCTATCCCTATCTCTTTCTCTAGCTCCTTTTTAAGGCCAATAACTCTTAGGTTTGCCCCTTTAAGGCTAATTTCTAGATCTTCTAGGCATACTTTATATTTTTTTATTCTTTTGTTTCCTCTGACTGTATATTTTCAAGTAGCCTGTCTTCAAGCTCACTGATGCTTTCTTCTGTTTTGATTTATTCTGCTGGTGAAAGACTGATGCATTCTTCACCATGTCAATTCCATTTTTCAACTCCAAAATTTCTGCTAGATTCTTTCTAATTATTTCAATTTCTTTGTTAAACTTATCTGACAGAATTCTAAATTCCTTTTCTGTGTTATCTTGAATTTCTTTGCATTCCCCCAAACAGCTATTTTGAATTATCTGTCTGAAAGGTCATATATCTCTGCTTCTCCAGGATTGTTCCCTGTTCCCTTATTTAGTTCATTTGGTGAGGTCATGTTTTCCTGGAAGGTCTTGATGCTTGTGGATGTTCATTGGCGTTTGGGCATTGAAGAGTCAGATATCTATGGTAGTCTCTGCACTCTTTCCAGGCATTTAAAAAGACTTGGGTGTTGAGATCTAAGACATATCTACATTAGGGGGCATCTCAAGCCCAGTAACACTATGGTTCTTCCAGACTCATAGAGGTACTGCCTTGATAATCTTGAATAATATTTGGAATAATTCTCTGGATTACCAGGCAGATTCTTGTTTCTTTCCTTACTTTCTTCCAAGCAAATGGAGTCTGTCTTTCTGTGATGAGCTGTCTGGAGCTGGGGGTGGGGTGACACAAGCACCCCTGTGGCCACCACCACTGGGACTGAGTTGGGACAGACCTGAAGCTGGCACAGCACTGAGTCTCACCCAAGGCCTGTTGTAACCAGTACCTGGCTACTGCCTATGTTCACTCGAGGCCCTAGGGCTCTGCAATCAGCAGGTGGTAAAGCCAGCGAGATTTGTGTCCTTCTCTTCAGGGCAGCAAGTTCCCCTAGACCCTATTCTTTTCCAGAGATGCCATCCATGAACTAGGGACTAGAGTCAAAAATCTTAGTAATCTACCTGGTGCTCTATTCTACCACAGCTGAGCTAGCACACAAGTTATGTGACACAGTTATTTCTACGCTTTCCTCACCTTTCTACAGGCAGAGGAAACTCACCCATGGCCATCACCTCCACAGGCCCAAGGGGAGTGCTGCCGGGCTACCACCGAGGTTCACTAAGGCCCAAGGGCTCTTCAGTCAGCTTATGCTGAAGGCTGCCAGGTCTGGGACTCACTCTTCAGGGAAATGGTCCACCTTCTGGCCCAGGGAAGGCTTAGAAATTCCATCTAAGAGCCAAGGCCTCTAATTAGGGGCCCCAAGAGCCCACTTGTTACTCTACCCCACTGTTGCTGAGCTGGTACCTAAGGTGCAAGATCAAGTCCTCTTTACTTTTCCCTCAGCTTTTTTCAAGCAAAAGGAGTCTCTCACCATAGCCACCATAGCTGGGACTGTGCTGGTTCACATCTAAAGCCAGCATATCTCTGAGTCTTACCCAAGGCCCATGGCAAGTACTGCCTGGGTGCTGCTGCTGATTATTCAGGGCCCAAGGTCTCTTTAATCAGCAGGTGATGATTCCTCCCAGGATAGGTCCTTCCTTTCAAGGCAGTGGATTCCCTTCTGGCCTAAGGTATGTCTAGAAATACTGTCTGGGAACTAGGGCCTGGAATGGGGGCCTAATGACCCTGACTAGTGCCCTATCCTACTGCGGCTGAGTTGGTATCCAAGTTGCAAGACAAATTCCTCTTTACTCTTTCCTCTCCTCTCCTCAAGCAGAAGTAAGGCTTCTCCTTTGCAGCTGAGGGCTGTGCTGCCTGGTGTTTTGGGAGGGGTAGTGCAAGCACTCCTGTAGTTGCCCTGGCTGGTGTCTCAGTAGGTCACATGTCCCTCATGTCCACTGGCTACACGCCCAACTCAGCACTAAGACTTGTGTAGGAGTTGCAGTCCTTATTGCCTAAACTGCCTTTCAAGTTTATTTAGGGCCCCAGAGCATTTTAGGTCATAATGATGAGACTTGCTGGAACTCAAGTTCTGACTGTTGGGATGGGCCATTCCCCTCTGGCTAGGGCTAGTCTCAGTGCTCCCTCAATGGGCAGGCATCATTTGAGTTCAGCCCAGTTTTGCTTTCTGTTGTGACAGGGCAGCTTTGAGTTCAATGCCTCTCACAATCACTGCACTGTCCCTCTCCCAAGTGCACAGATTCTCTCTCTGCACCTACGGCCATCGCCAGAGGATAGGGGTGGGGTGCCATCAGCAATTCAAGACTGTCTTTCTTGCCCTCTTCAGTGCCTCTGTCAGCAATATGAAGTTAAAACCAGGCACTGTGAGTGCTCACCTGATTTTTCATTCTTAGGAAGGTGCTTTATTTTATATTATTTCTTTCATGACTGCCTTGCCTGAAGAAAGATGCTTTTTATGTATAGATAGTTATTAAATTTGGTGTTCCTCTCTGGGGACAATCAGTGGAGCCTTCTATTCACCCATATTGCTCTGCCCTCTCTCTCTGATTTTTTTTTTTGTTTTTTAAAAAATGGGGTTTCACTCTGTTGTCCATGCTAAAGTGCTGTGGCATTATCACAGCTCACTGCAGCTTCAACCTCCGGAGCTCAAGCACACCTCAGCCTCCCAAGTAGCAGGGACCACAGGTTTGCACCACCATGCCTGGCTAGTTTTTTAAATGTTTGACATTTTTTATACAGATGGGGTCTCATGTTGGCCAGGCTGGTCCCAAACTCCTGGGCTAAAGCAATCTTTCCACCTCAGCTTCCCAAAGTGCTGATATTACAGGCATGAGCCAATGCACCTGGCCAGGGTTTTGTAAATATGAGGATCATTTTTTCATTTGGTAAGACTCCCTCTTTCCTCATGGTAGTATTTGCACTTTAAGTATCCCGGAAGAGAAAGTACAAAATGCCAATAACAACATAGATAACTCTTTAAAATAAACATATTTTAATCACACAACATAAATCTACATACATTTGAAATATGTGTGAGATTATTCTTTTTCCCCCCAGAAATGGGGTTTTGCTATGTTGCTCAGGCTGGTCTCAAACTCCTAGCCTCAAGCAATCCTCCCACCTCAGCTTCCCTAGTAGCTGGGATTACAGGCATGCCCCACTATACCTGGCAGATTATTCTTTATTCCAGGTAGAAACCAAGTTTAGACAAACCTTGGTATGAAATTTCTGCCATTTCTGTGGATATATCTAAACTTCTTTTATTATTTATTTGTTTATTTATTTATTTATTTATTCATTTTTTGAGAGAGAGTCTAGCTCTGTTGCCCAGGCTAGAATGCAGTGGCATGATCTTGGGTCACTGCAACCTCCACTTCCTGGGTTCAAGCGATTCTCCTGCCTTAGCCTCCAAAATAGCTGGGATTACAGACATGCACCACCACACCTAGCTAATTTTTATATTTTTAGTCGAGACGGGGTTTCACCATGTTTACCAGGCTAGTCTCGAATTCCTGACCTCAGGTGATCCACCTGCCTTGGTCTCCCAAAGTGCTGGGATTACAGGCGTGAGCCACTGCACCCGGCCTAGTGATACACTTAAAAGAAGTTCTGATACAGCTATAGAGGTGGTAAGACTTTTATTCTAAGATTTTTTCTAAACAAAATAAAGCTAACCTGCAAATACAGTTTTAAAGATAATTAACACATATTGAAAGTAAATAACTATGTTTCTAAGGATCAGCTAGGCACTGTTCAGGAGAAAAAGGGGTGATTTCTGCCCTCCAGGGTTGGTGTCAAGGTTGAGTTGACAAGACTAACACACATGACCTGAAAAGTGTTGGCTGAATGCCATATTGGTTCAGGCTGTAGGTAATTGGAGAAGGGAGCGCAGTGTGGGATGAGGCAAGTTGTGATATTAGATCCTCACTTTCTACTGATGTAGACTTCATGCCAACTTGGCCAAGATGACCAAGTGAACTCAGCAAAGCTGAGAGAAACTGGGCTCCAGCTCTCATGATTTCCATCTATTCCAGAATAATAAATGTTAGATAAATCCTTCGTTAAGAAGTAACCAAAGACTTTTTTTCCTTTGGGGCAAATCTAAATGATTCCAATTTAGAAAACACATACTTTTTTTTCTGACAGAAGATAACACAAGCTTTAATTTTCAAATTTCCTCCCATGTTTCATGTGAAGGAGTTAAGGTCATGCTGCCCCAAAATATGCTGCTTTGGCATGTTAACTATTTTGAGCTGAAGGCACTTGAGAAAGAGCTGACGCAGGAAGGGCTCTCTGACCTCCCCTTTTCTATTTAAGAATAGGCCATAAAACTTCCCATGAGGAAGGTGCCCTCCTTATACCAGAAAGACAAGAAATCCTTATCACCAGAGACTGGGAATCGACATTGAAATGGATCTGCATAAACAAACTTAATAAATAATCCTTATATCTTACTAGTTTTACCCCCATTCATATATCTCCCAGTCATTTCCCCACAATTTATTACCTCCAGTCCAAACCCCTTTATCTTGTTATTTCTTCATAAATGTATAATTTCTTTGTCAAAAATGTTTAGAAAGATTTCTGCTCTAGTCACTTCTTTAGAGCGTCATGTGAAAGCCCATGTACATGTAAAAATTTAATAAAGCTTGTCTACTTTTCTCCTGTTTATCCATCTTATGTCTGTTTAATTCTTAGTCCCAACCAGAGAATCTGAGAAGGTAGAGGATAATGTGTTTCCTCCTCAACAGATGTAACACGTTATTTTATGTTATTAAATATACTATTAAGACCATTGTAATTCAATATAGAAAGGTAGAAAAGAAAGGAAAGAAGGAAAAACTAGAACCTAAATGCTTATCTCCAAGGGTACGAGTAAATAAAATGCAGCAAATGCATACAATAGAATGTTATGCAACAGTTTGAGATAGAAATACATGTGCTATATTGACAAAGACCTCCAATACATATTAATTGAAAACAGCAAGCTGCTAATTAACACAGGGCATATAAATTCATTGATATTAAAAGACACACACAGACAGACACACATACACACACCTCACAGAACAAAAATATATATTTCTGTATGTATCTAGTATTCATTTATTTACAAAATCACCTAGAAGAAACTCTGAAAGACATGCCCCCAAATGGCAACAATCTCTGGGAAGTATGGCATTGGGAGGCAGGATGCAAATATACATCTCTATTATTTAAAGACTTCCCATCCTTTGAGCTGGAGCTGCAAGGTAAAAATAATAACAAATAAATAACAAAAAAGATTTCCCAATAGATATTCATGTATTTCCCTGTCTTTCTTAGGGTCAAAATCAAAGAGGGCTGGGTACAGTGGCTCATGCCACTAATCCCAGCACTTTGGGAGGCCAAGGTGGGCAGATCACTTGAGCTCAGGAGTTCAAGACCAGCCTGGGCAACACTGATGGTGGCGGTGGCCTGCCTGGAGTAGCCACTGTGAGGATACCAGCTGCAGGGAGGGAGGCATAGCCAGGGCTGCATGCACCACGGAACCGGCGGGGCCGGGAACAGCTGATCCCAGCAAAAGCCCCATGCCCTACGGAGTTGGTTGGGTGGTTGGGTGGGAGCCCATGCTCCCGGGTGCAGCTGCAGCCGCCCAGCCATGGCTCTGGACCCAGGCATGCCTGTACTCTCAGGGCCCTGGGAAGCCCTGCAGGCTCTCACTCCCTGTCCTCTTCCCGCTCTCAGCACCCGCCCCCATGGCAGAGCAAAGCTGCGGACGTATCCTGTTAACTGAGCCCAGGTGCTGTTGTGACCCGGCCAGGTGTGCACACACTTGGGGCAGCACTGACACACCACCGCCCTGCCACCGCCACCTCAGCCCCCTCCAGAAACTGGTTCTGAGGCTGAAACTTTGGGTGCCAACGAGTACGGGAGGGAGGCCTGGGGGGCTGAGGGTGGCTTGGGGCGGGCCTAAGGATGCCCCTTGCGCAGACAGCCTGGGTGCCATGGATAGCATGTTGTTGGTGGTGGGCGACAGGCAGGTTCCTTCCGTGGGAAGGGGCGGGTCCCCTGGAGCCTGGGGGCTGGGCTATCAGTTCTGGACAAAGTCTCCCACCCACAGTGAGAACTTCCTTGATACCTTTTGGCAAATCAAGTGGTGCTTTTTCCAGGCATGCCCATGGACCAATCAGCACACACTTCCTCCATTTTGAGCATTTCCTCCATTCTGAGCCTGTAAAATCCCTGGAGTCAGCCAGACTCAAGACACTCAGGACGACCTGCCTCTGAATAGGAGCTACCCACTTCTGGTCTCCTCTCTCCTGAGAGCTGTACCGCTGCTCAATAAAGCTCCTCTGCCTTGCTCACCCTCTAGCTGTCTGCATAACTCCATTTTTCCTGGAAGCAGGACAAGAACCCAGGACCCGCTGAATGGCAGGAGCAAAAGGAGCTGTAACACTTTCCTAGCTGGCTCCCGAGCTGTGGCAGGAGCTAAAGGGGCTGTAACACTATAGCCCTTCTGCCCTCCATGGGCACCAGGCAGCTGTCCCATGTGACAGGAAGCAGTGGTGGGGTGGGGCCAGCCCAGGAGCCCCGAGCTGAAGCAGGGCAGTGGGACTGAAAGAGCCGCAACACAAACGGGCTGAAACACCCTCCCCACCTTCCCCCGCCCCCAACCCCCGTCACCCCACCTCACCTTACTGGGACGAGGAGGAAAGAAGAGAGGGCTCTCCTTCTGGGAGCCCAGACCTCAGGGCTCCCTGAGTCAGAGCTCGACATGCTGTAATACTCTTTTTGGGACTCTGCGGTTCCTGGCATCTCTGAGCTTTTGGGCGCCACCTGTTCCCCTCGTCCAGACACTGGTGCCTGCAGTGGAAGCCCATTGCAATACATCTGGTCTAGCCGCATCCTCGCACAGAGCCAGTGCTTGTGTTGATGCCTGGAGCTTCCTGCCCTGCCACAGCAGCCAGCCTGCCTGGCTATGCACAGTGGCCAGACTCCACGCTCGCTCGCTGACACAACCCACACCCCTGCCACTTCATGCCTGGCTTGCTCTTGGCATGCATGGGATCCAGGCTGGTAGCACCAGCCAAGATCAGCCTGCCAGGCCAAGTGGGCGATCCCAGTGAGCATAAGCAAAACTCAAGCATAAGTGCCACCAGCCACAGACGCTTCTGGCTGGTGAAGCCACACCCTAAGGATCCTGAGACAACATGGCAAAACCCAGTCTCTACCAAAAATACAAAAATTAGCTGGATGTCGCCTGTATTCCCAGCTACTCAGGAGGCTGAGGCAGGAGGATTGCTCGAGCCAGGAGTTGAGGCTGCAGTAAGCCATGTTCACGCCACCATACTCAAGCCTGACAGACCGTTCTCCAAAAAAAAAAAAAAAAAAAGAATCAAAAGATCTGCACAATCTGTATTCTCTACCCCCTACTTCTCTGATCTCATTTTCCCTTTTACTGATTGATTTTATTTTCCCTTTTACTGATTCCCTACCCATACTTCTCAGATCTCATTTTTCTTTTTACTAATTGTAATCTCCTTGCTAAACCTCAAATATACATGCATTGATGCACCTTAGGGCTTTTGAAAAGGCAGCTCCCTTTGCGAAGAATGCTCTGCCTCTGTTTACCTATGTTGCTCATTAATTCACTTCCTTCAAGTTTTTCAAGTGGTAACTTCTCTGTGAGGCCTACCCTGACTTAATTATAATTCCCCCTACTAGCGTTCCCAGTCTGCCTCATCTTATGCTTGTTTATAGCATTACTCACCTTCTAACACATTATATAATTTGTTACTTACTATGTTTGTTTTTCTCCTTTCACTGGAATGTAAGCTCTATGAGGGCATGGATTTTTACTTCCTTTGTTCATCAGTGTATCCTTAGTTCTTAGAATTGTGCCCAGTATACCAGTCAGTGCTCGATAACATGTGCTAACTTACAAATCTTCACAAGAATATATTCATGTGTTTTGCATGTTTTTAAAAATCAAAGACTATGAATCAAATATAATCACCAATCATACAAACAAAAAGTTAGAATAAAATGTTTGAGAAGTTCCTGGGTTCTGTGGAACAAAGTTTGAAGACCTCTGGCTTAAAGCAAAATCAGACAGAGCTCACATTGATTTAGGCACACGACTTGCAATGCAAACTATTTTACCCTGGAACATCTATTTTTTCAAAACACTGGGAATAAACCAACCATTCCTAGGAGTCTCTGTGAAATCCCCAGGGATTGCTTTTTGTTTTGTTTTTGTTTGAGACCGGGTCTTGCTCTGTTCACCAGGCTATAGTGTAGTGGTGCAATCATAGTTCACTGCAGCCTTGAACTCCTGAGCTCAAGCAATCCTTCCACCTCAGCCCCCTGGGTAGCTAGGACTATGGGCACATGTCACCATAACCAGCTAATTTTTTACAAAAATTTTTGTAGAGATGGAATTTCCCAGGTTGTTCTTGAACACCTGGCCTCAAGCAATCCTCCTGCCTCAACCTCCCAAAGCACTGGGATTACTGCTGTGAGCCACCACACCCAGCCTCTCATCTACTTCTCTCTCTCTCTCTCTCGTAGAGGCAGTCTCCCAGTGTTGCTCAGGCTGGTCTCAAACTCCTGGGCTCAAGCGATCCTCCCACCTATCTCTTTATTTATTATCAAGATTCATAATTATTATTTACAAGCTCCTCAGCACTTGTAGATTTGACTTCTTGTTTTGCCAATTATATTATAAATTTCTCAGAGTTACTGGCCAGATCTTATGCTTCTATAGTCCAATAGTGAGATTCTGTCCACATAGTAAGTATTTAATCAAGGCTTTGTAATCAGCATTGTAAACCAAGTGAGAATATAAATGAGCCTATAAACATTACCCCAAGTCACACAGAACTTTGAACTTTGAAATACTAAATCTATTTCAGTGATTCTTTTCTGAATTTTAAAAGCGAAGCACCGGAACAGAACATTGGCAACTGACAAGTTTTCCTTGTTAACTCCAGATTTGTGTACTGAAAGGTGGTACAAACATCTAGGGAAGCTCGAATCAAAGCTAATATTTTTACTAGACAGACCAACCCCACCTCTGTTATTACCTGGCATATGCGTATGGCTGTTCATAAATGTTTGGGGTCTGAGAATCTAGGTATAAGAAAGTTAATGATTGGTACCTAGATCAGCTTGACAGAGAAGAAAGACTTCCAAGAGCACAGCGCTGCCTGGTTGGTTGGTTCGTTTTCAAAAGGCTGAAGATCTACACAACAAATACAGCAAACTTTATGTATTTACATAATGAAGCACTTGTATGTTTGTATATACCTTTTGTGGCAGAGGAGACCAAAGAAAATGGCATAAAGTAAGGAGAGGTTTTTTGTTGTTTTTTTTTTTTTTGAGACGAAGTCTTGCTCTGTCACCAGGCTGGCGTGCAGTGGCGCGATCTTGGCTCACTGCAACCTCCGCCTCCTGGGTTCAAACGATTCTCCTGCATCAGCCTCCCAAGTAGCTGGCACTACAGGCACGTGCCACCATGCCCAGCTAATTTTTGTATTTTTAGTAAAGACGGAGTTTCACCATTTTGGCTGGGATGCTCTCGATCTCTTGACCTCGTGATCTGCCCGTCTCGGCCTCCCAAAGTGCTGGGATTACAGGCTTGAGCCACCGAGCCTGGCCCAGGAGAGATTTTTAAATAGTAAAAATTATGAACAATCATTGTGCCCCACTATTAGACAATATGACATAAACTGGCATACAATATCATAATCATAAATATTAACAAGTATTTGACACATAGCATACATATAAGGTTATCTTAGGTGAAGAAAATCAGAACTTAGGCTGGGCGCGGTGGCTCACACCTGTAATCCCAGCACTTTGGGAGGCCGAGGTGGGCGGATCACAAAGTCAGGAGATCGAGACCATCATGGCTAACACGGTGAAACCCCGTCTCTACTAAATATATAAAAAATTAGCCGGCGTGGTGGCGGGCGCCTGTAGTCCCAGCTACTTGGGAGGCTGAGGCAGGAGAATGGCGTGAACCCGGGAGGCGGAGCTTGCAGTGAGCCGAGACATCGCGCCACTACACTCCAGCCCGGGAGACAGAGCAAGACTCCATCTCAAAAAAAAAAAAAAAAAGAAAATCATAACTTAATATGAACACATTCACTGATTTTGAAATGTAAGAAAAAATATGCATGAACTGGCAGCTATCAGAAATTAACTTGAGAGAAAGAAAATAGGGTGCTTTTTTTTTTTTTTTTTGAGACGGAGTTTCACTGTTGTTGCCCAGGCTGGAGTGCAATGGTACAATCTCAGCTCACTGCAACCTCTGCCCCCGAGTTCAAGCGATTCTCCTGCCTCAGCCTCCCAAGTAGCTGGGATTACAGGTATGTGCCACCACACCCTGCTAATTTTGTATTTTTAGTAGAGACACGGTTTCTCCATGTTGGTCAGGCTGGTCTCAAACTCCTGAACTCAGGTGATCCACCTGCCTCGGCCTCCCAAAGCGCTGGGATTACAGACATGTGCCACCGTGCCCGGCCAGGGTGTTTTTTTTGTTTTTTTTTTAAAGACAGGGTCTTACTGTGTTGCCCAGGTTGGCCTCCAACTCCTGGACTCAAGGGATCCTCCTGAAAAAGCCTCTGAGTGGCTGGGACAGCAGGCACATGCCAGCACACCTGGCTTAGAAATAGTGTTTTCTTTTGTTGTTTTTTTGTTTTCAAGATGGGGTCTTATTCTGTGCCCGAGGCTGGAGTGCAGTGGCGTGATCTATGCTCACTGCAAACTCTGCCTCCTGGTTCAAGCGATTCTCCTGCCTCAGCCACCTGAGTAGCTGAGTAGCTTAGCAAGCATGCACCACCATGCTCAGCTAATTTTTGTATTTTTAGTAGAGATGGGTTTCACAGTGTTGGCCAGGCTGGTCTCCAACTCCTGACCTCAAGTGATCGGCCCGCCTCGGCCTCCCAAAGTGCTGGGATTACAGGTGTGAGCCACCTCACCTGGCCAGAAATACGGTTTTGATAGTTATTACTGTTTCGTCCTCTATCAGTTTTCTAAATTTCATCACTGTCAGTATTTTTGAGTGAGAAAGAGGCAAAAGAATATTAGAAGAAATTCGATCAGTCAGGGAAAGAGATAGTTTAAAAAAGGAAAGCAGTAGAAAGATACTAAGAGGAAAAAAGCATATAAGAGAAGAGGGAAAAGCATAGAAACATTTGCTAAAAAAGCAAAACCTAGAGAGACAGGAAGCAATGACAGAAAGAGGGATATGTTACTGTGTGGGTTGTTTATTAACTTGAATGAATCTCAAATGTCTCACAACAACCCTACATGGTATTATAATCATCCTCATTTTAAAATGACAAAACCAAGTGACAGCATGGATTAAATAAATTGCTCAGTTATTCTAGGGGCCAGTGGAGGGAGATGAGATTGAGGCAACATCACTCTTTGTTGTTGTTGTTGTTGTTTTGTTGTTGTTGTTGTTGGGTTCTTAGAGACAGGGTCTTGCTTTGTTGCCCAGGCTGGAATCAGTGGCTCCATCATAGCTCACTGCACCCCCAATCTAGTGGGCTCAAATGATCCTCCCACCTTGGCCTCCCAAAGCACTGGGATTACAGGTATAAGCCACTGTGCCTGGCCTGATTTCATGCTCTAAAGCATTTTTTTCACCACCTCTTATGCAAACATGTAAACATTCCAAAAGATAAGTTTCCATCATCCTTTCAAATAGTGACAACTGATTCAGCAATTTAACATAAATCTATTTGCCTTTGTTCTAATATACTTTAATTTTTTAAAAATAATCACTTATTTGTTTGTTTGTTTATTTTTGAGACAGAGTCCTGCTGTGTCATCGCCCAGGCTGAAGTGCAGTGGCATAGTCTCGGCTCACGGCAACCTCCACTCTCAGGTTCAAGTGATTCTTATGCCTCAGCCTCCCAAGTAACTAAGATTATAGGCATGTGCCACCATGCCCAGCTATTTTTTTTGAGATGGAGTCTCGCTCTGTCGCCCAGGCTGGAGTGTAGTGGAGCAATCTCGGCTCACTGCAACCTCTGCCTCCCAGGTTCAAGTGATTCTCCTGCCTCAGCCTCCCAAGTAGCTGGGACTACAGGTGCATGCCACCATGCCTGGCTAATTTTTGTATTTTTAGTAGAGACGGGGTTTCACCGTGTTAGCCAGGATTGTCTCAATCTGTTGACCTCGTGATCCACCCACCTCAGCCTCCCAAAGTGCTGGGATTACAGGCGTGAGCCGCCGTGCCCAGCCTTGTATTTTTAGTAAAGACTGGGTTTCACTATATTGGCCAAACTAGTCTCTAACTCCTGGCCTCAAATGATCCATCTGCCTCAGCCTCCCGGAGTGCTGGGATTATAGGCATGAGCCACCACACCCAGGCTAGACTTTAATTTTTAAGTAATTTTTTTTTCCCCAAAGAAATTCTAAAGGTTTTCATCTTTGGAAAAATGGCAGTGTGCTCTTTCACCTACACCAAAGAGAATGGTAGAGCGTATTCGTTCACTTCTTCATTCATAAATTGCGTGCCTATGTGCAGAACTGTGATCGGTACCCTGTGTATATGACAGAATAAAACACACCTGGACACCTGGCTCCCATTCTCCAAGAACTTACTCAGTGACTTTTAGGGGTTAATTTGGAAGATGTTCACTGGTTTAGCATCTAATAAACTGTGTAATTTTGAAAACAAGGGGCTAGATTAGAAAACCCAACATTAATATTATCTGACTTTTAAAATGTGGATGTTGGGACAGGGATTCTCTCTAATGAGCTTGGGTTTGGGCTTTGGGTTAGACAGGCTGCTCACATTTCTTTGATCCTTAAGAGCAGGCATGGTGTCAGGGAAATATCACAGTGTGAAGATCTTCTTGGCAGGACCTAAGAAGACTCTTAGATTTGTATCTTCTTACGTTATCATCATTTCTTACTTCAAGCATCAATGTCATATTTTGTCAGCTGTGCTGCAAAACTTTCTAGAACTGATTGAACGAGAGCTTCAAACAATGCTGGGCCCACCTACTCCATTTAGTTCTAATTGGAGAAATCTGAGGACCTCATTCTTCTTAGCAACACAGTGATTTTAACTTTTTCCGTGATTCATTTTTTTGGAAGGCTGCCTTCTCAAGTTTCAAAAAAGGCTCAGGAATTACATAACTCTTCTCTATTCTAAGTTTATCACTCAGATCCATTGAATGCCTACTATGTGTCAGACCCTGTGGTAATTGTTAGGATTATATAGAAAGAAGACCTAGGCTGGGCGCAGTGGATCATGCCTGTAATCCCAGCACTTTGGGAGGCTGAGGCAGGCAGATCACAAGGTCAGGAGTTTGAGACCAGCCCGGCTGACATGGTGAAGCCCCGTCTCTACCAAAAATACAAAAATTAGCTGGGCGTGGTGGTGTGCACCTGTAATCCCAGCTACTCAGGAGGCTGAGGCTGGAGAATTGCTTGAACCCGGGAGGCAGAGGTTGCAGTGAGCTGAGATTGGACCATTGCACTCCAGCTCTGGGTGACAGAGCAAGACTCCATCTCAGAAAAAAAAAAAAAGAAAGAAGACCTAGTCCCTGCCCTTAAGGAATTCACAGTCTAAAGGAGAAGCAAGGGAAGGAAACAAAGCGTCATAATTCAGGGTAGTGAGTGTTCGAATAGAAGTAAGCATTGGATGTAGGCATACACAAAAGGGGAACTTAGACTGGGAGTCTTAGAACAAACATTTTGGAGGAAATGACATCTGAATTTTGAAGTTTGCCAAGGAAAGAAGCAGGGAGATGAGTTAAAGGGAGAGAGAAACAAGTGCAATGAATGGGATCAAGCTTAAGAAGTGTATTTGTCCATTCTCATGCTGTTGATAAAGACATACCTGAGGCCAGGTGTGGTGGCTCATGCCTGTAATTCCAGCACTCCAGGAGGCCAAGGTGGGCAGATCATGAGGTCAAGAGATCGAGACCATCCTGGCCAACATGGTGAAACCCCGTCTCTACTAAAAATGCAAAAATTAGCCAGGAATGACCTGTGCCTGTAATCCCAGCTACTCGGGAGGCTGAGGCAGGAGAATTGCTTGAGCCCGGGAGGCAGAGGTTGCAGTGAGCTGAGATCGTGCCACTGCACTCCAGCCTGGCGACAGAATGAGACTCCGTCTCAAAAAAAAAAAAAAAAAAAAAAAAAAAAAAGACATACCTGAGAGTGGGTAATTTATAAAGAAAAAGAGGTTGAATGAGCTCACAGTTCCAAGTTGCCAAGGAGGCCTCACAATCATCGCAGAAGGCGAAAGGCATGTCTTTACATGGCAGCAGGCAAGAGAGAATGAGAGCCAAGAGAAAGGGGTTTCCCCTTATAAAACTATCAGATCTTGTGAGACTTATTCACTACCATGAGAACAGTATGGGGGAAACTGCCCCCATGATTCAATTATCTCCCAACAGGTCCCTACCACAACACGTGGGAATTATGGGAGCTACAATTCAAGATGAGATTTGGGTGGGGATACAGCCAAACCATATCAAGAAGGAAACTTGTAAGTGGAAGAAATGACGCTGGAGCAGTGGCAGGGAATAGATTACGAAGAAAGTGTCTTTCATGCAATGCTAAAGAGCTTTAATTTTACCTAGAAGTTGCAATTGGAAGAATGTAAACATAAGCATGCTTTGATTAGTGTGTGAAGAATGGACAAAGGGTGACCCCAAAGGCAAGGGAAACCAGTTGGAAAACTCCCGTGTTGTAGTGAGGATGGAGCAGAGGAGACAAATTATAGACATGAAGCAGCAAAGGTTGGTTCCTGGGTTTTGCTTTGGGAGTCTGAGTGGGAGGCATTGCCATTCACCACGAGAGGCAAATTAGAAGGAATAAGCTTGGGTGGGAATTCCATTTTGGATATGTTGAGGTGTCTAGAGGCCCTCAATGGCCATTTTCAGTCCCTGTCTGGATATTTTAGTTGGGAGCTTAGGAGAGAAATCTTGGCTGGGAATAAAGTGGCAAGTCACCAGCATACAGGTGACAGGTGCAGTCATAACGCAGTATTGCCTTTCACAAGGACAGTACACACCATGAGAAGATGGTTGATGGTAGACAATGAGTGGGCAGGGGACTGAGAAGCAACTGCTGGATATTTAGAAGGAAAACCAGAAAAGTAGGGATGGGAAAGATAAGACTGCTTAATGAGAAGGGAGTGGCCAAGAGGGTTAAATGCTAAAGAGCTCAAGTAAGTTAAAACTAAAAAGAACCACTGTATCTAGCCAATAAGAGGTCAGTGTGGACCTTTGAGACCAATGTTTCACTGGTGTGGTGGAGTCAGAGGGTAGAATGCAGGGAATTGAGAAGTGAATGAGAAATGGGAAAGTGAAGCCATAATTGTGGTCAGGGAAGTCTAAAATCTAAGAGTTTGGTTAACTTTAGTCTTGGTCTTGTTTACTTTTACTGTGTTTTCTCCTTCTTGCCCTGACACATTTTCTACTTACTCTCTTCCTCCTGGTTTCCAATTAATGGCTGCAGCGTTCTCATGTTCCTTCTGGTATTTTTTCATTTACTTATTAATGTATAAGTACTTATTAACCTTATCTGACTTTTGCAGTGGAAAATAACTGACTTTGGGATGAAATAGGGCTGGGTTTGAATCCCTTGCTAGAGTCCTCAGGGGCTGCTTTTTTTGTTATCTACAGGAGTTTGAATCTATACAGAAATCTTCTCAAACCAGCCAGGGGCTGGGAGCTGAGACTGCTGGGCCTGAGGCAGCTCTTTCCTCCACTTCTGTCTCTCTCTGGGAAATGTCTGCTCTCATCTCTGCTTTTCTCTGCACTTAACAGTGTGCACGTTTTCTAGAAACCAGTAGGCCAGTTTGACAAATCTTTCAATCTTAGCTCCTTCCATTACACAGCTCAGGAGCCCAACCTTCTCTCAGCATAAATTTTTAAGAGAATATGGTTGTTGACTGGCCAAGGATTGACTTTAGGATCATGTAGTCCAAATAGCAAGAAGTGGCCAGGCGCAGTGGCTCACATCTGTAATCCCAGCACTTTGGGAGGTGGAGGCAGGATGATAACTTGAGGTCAGGAGTTTGAGATCAGCCTGTCCAACATGGAGAAACCCCATCGCTACCAAAAATACAAAAATTAGCCAGGCGTGGTGGTGCACACCAGTAATCCCAGCTACTCGGGAGGCTGAGGCAGGAGAATCGCTTGAGCCTAGGAAGCGGAGGTTGCAGTGGGCCGAGATTGTGCCACTACACTTTAGCCTGGGCGACAGAGCAAGACTCTGTCTCAAAAAAAAAAAAAAAAAAAATAGCAATAAGTGTCAGTTGGTACAAACATGGCCCCCAGACCAAACATTTAAGTAAGAGCTATGAGTAAGGGGCAGTTCCCAGAAATGAAGGTTTGAACTGCACAGAAACTGGTGTGGGATTTTGGACAAATCCCTCAGTCTTTTCAGTCTTAAATGCAGAGTGAAGTTAAAACTTAGTGGATGCAGGCCAGGGCACGGTAGCGCACACCTGTAATCCCAGCACTTTGGGAGACTCAGGCAGGGGCATCACTTGAGGCCAGGCATTTGAGACCAGCCTGGGCAACATAACAAGACCCCATCTCTACAAAAAAATTACACCTATAATATAGTCTTAGCTACTCAGGAGGCTGATGTGGGAAGATTCCTTGAGCCCAGGAGTTCAAGGCTGCAGTGAGCTGTGACAGTGCCACTGCACTCCAGCCTGGGTGACAGAGCAAGACTGTATCTCTAAAAAAACAAAAAAATAAAAATCTTAGTGGATGCTGTGTTGTGCGAGAACTCTTTCTCTAGCTGCTAGGAGCACTGCCAGGGGACAGCTCTCATCTGTCATCCTCTCCAGGTATTTCCTGATGGCAGATGGCAGAAGACAGTCTCCTTGTTCAGTCACGTCCTCTTTCCAAGGACTGTCTGCATCCAATTAATGCTCAATGTCAGGGTAATAAAAATCTGTTCCTCAGACCCCCATCAAGTGGGCACAACTCTAGGGGACATTGCAATTCCAGAGCTCCCTGCAGAGGACAGTGGGCCTCTGTCATGACATGACAGACCAAAGTCTCCCTCTGCCCATTCCTGCTTCTGTCCTTTCCCTGTCATATGTGTTGTTTCCAAGAGCATTACCTAATAAACTTCCTGCACACTAATCTCAGTCTGAGTCTGCTTCCTAGGGAACGCAACCTGTGACAATACCGTACCTCCATCTTACAATATTTTGGGAAGAAATAAATGAAATAGGACAACTCCTGGGACACCTTAATTGAAAGCTCTTTCTCTGAGCTCTTACCATGAAGTGTTCTGCTACTAAACTTTTTCTTTTTCTTTTTTGTTTTGAGAAAGAGTCTAACTCTGTTGGTGCGATCTTGGCTGACTGCAACCTCCACCGCCCAGGCTCAAGCGATTCTCGTGCCTCAGCCTGCAGAGTAGCTGGGACTACAGGCCTGCACCACCAAACCTGGCTAATGTTTTTATTTTTAGTAGAGATGGGGTTTCACCATGTTAGCCAGGCTGGTCTCGAACTCCTGGCCTCAAAAGATCTGCCCGCCTCAGCCTCCCAAAGTGCTGGGATTACAGGAATGAGCCACGGCACCTGGCCTTCTACTGCTACTTTTATTGACGCCTTCTGTTCTCCTAGCCTCTACGTATGTGTGTTGTAGAGCACTATTGGCTTCTTTACATTATGCTCCCTTCTTTTTTGTGTGCTCTGCAGTAACTTAAGATTTGCTCCCACATAGTATTTCCCTTTGGCTAGGGTCAACTTCATGAGTGTCAATCCTGTGTAGCTACACAGGGCCCAGCACTTGGAAGGGTCCCACACTTGATTTAATGCTCTATTCTTGCAATCTTGAAATTCCTTTTCCCTTTTTTTGAGATGGAGTCTGAAGTCTTGCTCCCTGTTGCCCGGGCTGGAGTGCAGTGTCAGGATCACAGCTCACTGCAGCCTCAACTTTCTGGGCTCCAGCAATCCTCCCATCTCAGCCTCCTTAATAGCTGGGACTACAAGCGTGCACCGCATCTGGCTAATTTTTCTATTTTTTATAGACACAGGGTTTCACTACATTGTCCAGGCTGGTCTCAAACTCCTGGGCTCAAACGATCCACCCATCTCGGCCTACCAAAGTGCTGGGATTACAGGCATAAGCCACCACACTGGACTCTTTATTAAATTCTTAATAATTTTTTAATAATGGCTCTGCATTTTTATTTTGCACTGGGCTCAGCAAAAAAAAAAAAAAAAAAAAGCCATGTTACTAGTCTTGCTTTTGGCTCCCTGCCTCCTAAGATGTGAGATAGATCTCCTGATCCGGGCTAGAACCTACCCTTGGTGTGTTACCAAAGGCTCAGTGACTTCACTGATTAGATCTCTGTTGCCTCCACATTCGCTTCACTTGTTCAGATACACACTGCTATCTTTCTGGTATAATTCACTTTCCTCACTTTTCCATCTCCTGACAAAATCTCTCTGGGAAGATAATCGACCACCATTGTCCCCAAGCCCTGCTACATCCACCCTGGTGTCTTTTACAGAAATGTACATAGGTCATAGGTTCTCAATACTTACCACTGGTAGACTGACTTTATTAGGCTTCCCTACATGGTCATTTCTAAGTCCTGTACTGTTTGGTCATTCTATCCACTCCTTCATACTTGCTCCCCAGTTATATTCATTTGGCTTGTACATTTATGTGACATATTCTCAATTACCATCTCTAATGTTCATTCATCTATTAGGTTAGAGTTTCTGGACTATCTTTTTTTTTTTTTTTTTTTTGAGAGACAGTCTCACTCTGTCACCCAGGTTGAAGTGCAGTGGCATGATCTTGGCTCACTGCAACCTCTGCCTCCCAGGTTCAAGTGATTCTCAGGCCTCAGTCTCCCGAGTAACTGGAATAACAGGTGCGCACCACCACACCCGGCTAATTTTTGTATTTTTAGTAGAGACGGGGTTTTGCCATGTTGGCCAGGCTGGTCTCAAACTCCTGGCCTCAAGTGATCCACCCGCCTTGGCCTCCCAAAGTGCTGAGATTACAGGCATGAGCCACTGCACCCGGCCCATTAGCTCTTTTATATCACTCTTTTATGGAGTTCACAGGATCACATACACAATGTTGCAGTCTGGATGCCAAATAAACACAGTTGGATTTTTAAAATTGTTTAATGCATGTACTTTATTAGAATGATATTTTGAACACTGAGATAATGTGATTTCATTCTGCTCACAGTTACTCTAGTACACAGATTTAAAACAATGGTCAAAGCAGCAATTACATTAACTCACTGCAGGAGTCATTATACACTCAGGTAGTACTTTGGTAAATTACAAAACAAATGTACACAAGGGCACTTCAGTAGAAATTAAATCAGTTTGGGGACACATCAGGCTGCTAAATTCTGTACTAGAATCCAACAGCAAATGAGTCATTCTTGGAAGTGGAAGAACTCCATGATTTCACAGCCTAGAACACTAAGTATGACCACCAACGCACCATTTCAACTATCTAACAACCAATGGGAGAGTCAATTGTTCTCATCCCAACTGCCAAAAGCAAAAGGCAGGCCATCACAAGTTGGCTTGTTCACCTTCTAAAGACATGACTTTATTTCTGCCTAAGTCATCTATATAAGCGAATCTAATAAATACAATAAAATGTAACCCAACAAAATTCTCATGTCACTTTTTACAGACATGGGTATATGAGAACCATGGAGGTGCTAAAGAAAAATAGAAGCATTTTCTTATTATCATATTACCATGAAATTAAATTTATGTCTGTTCTAAGGAAAGAAACTAAATGTCCTGTTTGATATTGATGAGTAGGCCTACTCATTCTCTACCAAAATCCTAAAAAAAATAAAAATAAAATTTCACTTAAAAAATAATTTCCTAGGAGGGCACAGTGCTGTAATCCCAGCAATTTGGGAGGCCGAGGCAGGTGGATCACGAGGTCAAGAGATCGAGACCATCCTGGCCAATATGGTGAAACCCTGTCTCTACTAAAAATACAAAAATTAGCCGGGCGTGGTGGCATGCACGAGTAGTCCCAGCTACTCCAGAGGCTGAGGCAGGAGAATCGCTTAAACCCAGGAGGCAGAGGTTGCAGTGAGCCAAGATCGCGCCACTGCACTCCAGCCTGGCGACAGAGCGAGACTCTGTCTCAAGAAAAAAAAAAAATTCCATCTTTTAGATTATGTGCTAATAATTCTCTTTTAAGTGTTGGAACAGGGGAAAGTTCACATTATAGAGTACAAAGGATCAAAATGGATCCCTCCAAAATGGACATCCCCCCAGAAAAATGCTTATAACTTTGAAACACTTAAGACATACAAAGATCTGGCCAGGTGCGGTGGCTCATGCCTGTAATCCCAGCACTTTGGGAGGCCGAGGTGGGTGGATCACTTGAGGTCAGGAGTTCGAGACCAGCCTGGCCAATATGGCAAAACCCCATCTCTACTAAAAATACAAAAAAATTAGCCGGGCACGGTGGCGGACGCCTGTAATTCCAGCTACTCGGGAGGCTGAGGCAGGAGAATGGCGTGAACCCAGGAGGCGCAGCTTGCAGTGAGCCGAGATCGTGCCACTGCACTCCAGCCTGGGTGACAGAGAGAGACTCCTTCTCAAAAAAAAAAAAGAAAAAAAAATACAAAAATTAGCCAGGGGTGGTGGCACGCGCCTGTAGTCCCAGCTACTCAGGAGGCTGAGGCAGAAGAATCGTTTGAACCCGGGAGGCAGAGGTTGCAGGGAGCCGAGACCGCACCACTGTACTCCAGCCTGTGTGACAGAGTGAGACTCCATCTCAAAAAAAAAAAAAAAGAAATACAAAATCTGTAACAAACGAACAGCTGATGGAGAACAGGACAGCATTTACTTCTGAATCTATAAAGTACTTAAGAACTTATACTTGTGGAAAATCACAATGACAATGAATATTTCACCAAATAGATGGTGGCAAATAGTTTGGCAACACATATTAGAAAGGTGATTTCTATACTACACATAAATGAAAGACAAACCGAACCACAATTGATGTTTTACTACATTAATGTAATTTACACTATGCCTATACCCACATGGCAAATTCAGTTATAACTGAAAAACTAGAGCAGTCCCTTTTTTTTTACTATGATTTGCATATTTTCCAGTATCCTAATACATGCATACTTATCTTTTATAGATTATAATAATCTACATTTAAAATTCCATTTTAATATTGTGGCATGAAAAATACAAACACCAATACAGTATGTTTTATGCTTACTCAAAGTTAACTGGCTCAGAGTTTTAAAAGCTTTCCCGGATAAAGCAGAGTCAAGTCTACCCTATATCCCCATCCTATAAATTCCTCTTTGTCGAACCTGGCAATCTCAGTGAGCTATGATTGCACCACTGCACTTCAGCCTGGACAACAAAGTGAGACTCTGTAACTATAAAAAACAAAAACAGACAAACTTGGCTATCTACCTCAATCCATCAATCACCCTCATGCCTTTGAACTTGACAACATCACTCCTCATCTTAGTTTTTAAAGTAAAAGATAGGAATAGTAATGTAAAGCATTCAAAACAAAAATGAAACCTGCATATTTGTTTATTTATTTATCTGAGATGGAGTTTTTGCTCTGCTGTCCAGGCTGGAGTGCAATGGCGCGATCTCGACTCACTGCAACCTCCGCCTCCCAGGTTCAAGCAATTCTCCTTCCTCAGCCTCCCCAGTAGCTGGGATTACAGGCACCCACCACCACGCCTGGCTAATTTTTGCATTTTTTGGTCAAGATGAGGTTTCACCATGTTGGCCAGGCTGGTCTCTAACTCTTGACCTCAGGTGATCCACCTGCCTTGGCCTCCCAAAGTGCTAGGATTACAGGCTTGAGCCACCGCGCCTGGCTGAAACCTGCATCTTCAGAATGTCATTTTTGTGCGTTAGTTTTCCTTTGCCTGTTGGTTTGGAAATTCTCCATGTTCCTAAAGGTAGCTTCCACATTTCTGTTCCAAGAACTGATTAGAAAAAGCAAGATGGTTTCCCGCTTTAGTTGCCTCCCTTTGGTTCCTCACCTCTCAGACAACAAACAGAATGTTAACAGTCTTTCCTGTGATGTTTTTCCTTCTTTCACCTAACTTCCCTTGAAAAAAAAAATCAAAATATTTATTTAGCACTTTTTTCAAAGGGCAATTCCTGATTAATATAGGCAGAAAAACTCAAGATTTATCTTCTTCCATTTCCAAAAAGGTAAGAAGATGTAAATATTTATATTGGGCCCTCTCCCTCCTCATACATTTTTACCCAAAGCTTAAAGAAAAAAAAAAAAGTCAACTCAAAACACAGTTGAAGGTATATACTACATCAACTTTTTCTTTTGTTTCTGCCACAGAATTCCATGTCATTCTTAAGATTCAGTATTTTTCTCACATCCTATTACTTTATATACAAATTGCCATATAGCAATTTTTAACCTATTTCCTCATCTGCTGATAATCACTGGGTCTCCACTATAAGAAAATTGCCCCTAGTTTGTCAAGAGTCCTTAAAAATAACGTATCAATAATTTAAAACTGGTGAAAGAGCTATGCAAGATTGTTCCCTTTAATTTTATATTACTCTAAAATATACATATGTACACATACTCACACATATAACAAATTTACATAGTTTGCAGAAATAAACTACGGAAATAATTCCAAATACACATTTAGAAATTCACATTTTAACAGCAAACTTACATGCAGATAAAGAGAAGTATAGTTTTATACTTCCTAAGTTACACAGCAAGCTGAAATGGAGAATGTTTTAATGGTCATTTTAGATTTATTCTTTCTCCTAAGTCTTAGAAAATGAGCAAAAAGGAGACATAAAACTCAAGCTATGTCTATAGCAGTATCAGTCAATGTGGTATTATTTTTATTAACAAATTATTCAATTGCTTACTCTATACAAAAAGTGATATACACATACTATAATACTATATGCAAAACACAAAATAGCGTTAGAGATAACAAATGAGAACTTCATACAAAATACTTGATTCCATCAGTATTTAACTTTTGACCGGAAGACTCAGCCTGTGCATTCTTTTCTGATATTAAGGAATAGTCACATTTTTACAGTATTCTTAACTACAGAAAAATAGGAATAAATGGAGGGGAGGGCTGATGAGACAGCTGAAATACACATTTATAAATATGTATACAATTTAGTAATGTCACATCATCTGAATTAATTTCTTTTCTTTCTTTTTTTTTTTTTTTTTGAGATGGAGTTTTTCGCTCTTGCTGCCCAGGCTGGAGTGCAATGGCATGATCTCAGCTCACTGCAACCCCCATCTCCTGGGTTCAAGTGATTCCTCTTTCCTCAGCCTCCCGAGTAGCTGGGATTACAGGTGTCTGCCACCACGCCCAGCCAATTTTTTTTTTTTTTTTTTTTTTTTTTTTGGATTTTTACTAGAGACAGGGTTTCACCATGTTGGCCAGGCTGGTCTTGAATTCCTGACCTCAGATGATCTACCCACCTTGGCCTCTCAAAGTGCTGGGATTACAGGCATGAGCCACTGTGCCTGGCCAAATTAATTTCTTTTGCATGGTTGCTTTCACCAGTAAGTGGTCCAGAATACAAAATATGGTAACAGAGAACTGTTTTCATACTTATTCCTTGGTACAGTTATTAAAAATAAAAACTCGCATTTTAGGATTAGGGAAGTCTGGAAAAAAATTTTTTTAAACTTGGAGATCACATATTGAATAGCTGTCAAAATTCAAACTGACTAGTTTTGAAGAACTTCAAAAACGTGTTCAAATGAATAAAGAACAAAAATGATCAAAAGAAACCCATAGCTGCCTAAGAGTCTTAAAAATTATTAATGTGACACTCTCATCTCTCATCAAGTGTATCCAAACCACTTCTCATTTGCTCTTTCCATTTAAAGACTCACAGTAGCTTCACTACACATATATTTATACTGAACATGTACAGCGGAACATAAATATGATGAGCATTTATGAAAAAACTACTATCTAAGTGGTTTACACTGACTTGTGCGCTGATCTAGTGAGTTAGGAGACCTTTTTGATCTTATCAGTTTCTTGACATGCTCAGTGAAAAACTGTTGCACAGAAACTCTAAGTCCCAGCTGGTAATCAGGCCCATCGTCCACTGGAGGCAAAGCTTCTGCTGAATGAGAAGTTGATTTCAGAGTTCTTATATTTTCCCCAGGCACCAAAAGGCACTACTACTGCAGTACTGTTATCCTCAGTACCGTACTGTATTGCCTGCAAGGTTTGGCAGGAAGAAAGAGAAAAACATTGGAAATCACAGTCTATACAAAGAGAAATCAGCCTTTCCTTCCCTTGGAAATACGCTTCCCCTAGAAAGCCAAACTGGTCTTATGTGCAGTTACTAACCTACTTATTTCACAATGGTTTGTGATTTTCACCCTGTATTAATGCCCACAAGGATTATTAAATTGCACACGGAATAACAGATGACCCAAAACAACCATATTAACTATATTCTGCTGTAGCAATTTTGGCAACAGAAACACCAGTGGACTAAGGGGCATTGGTATGCAGCTCCTGAAAATGAAGATACCTGTAAAGCATTCAGCGTAGGGAGTAACACACGGTGAGGACTTGATAATTGTTAGCTCTTACCAGGAATTCAATTCCCTTTAGGGAAATTTACCCTAATGGAATAAAAACCTTGGAAATTGAAAGACAAAAAAACTAGCCATAATCGTAAGAGAAATACAAATGGCTAATAAGCCTATGCAAATAGCTAACTCCACCAACAAAGAAAAAAGATAAAAATTTCTACACTAAAATTTGATTTTTCCATCTATCGAATTGGTAAGAAAAAAAAATATGGTAAGAATTTGGAAAAACAAACTGTAGAACATGCTAGTGTAAATTGGTATAGTATTTCTGGAGGATAATTTGGCAAACTTATTAAAAGCTCTAGAACATTGTGTATTCTTTCATCTAGAAATTTTATTTATTTATTGAGACAGGGTCTTATTCTGTCACCCAGGCTGGAGTGCAGTGGCACGATCTCGGCTCACTGCAGCCTTGACCTCCCAGACCCAGGTGATCTTCCTACCTTAGCCTTCTAAGTAGCTGACACCACAGGCATGTACCACCATGCCCAGCTAAGTAAAAAAAATATTTTTTTTTGTACAGACTGGGTCTCGCCATGTTGCCCAAGCTGGTCTTGAACTCCTGGGCTCAGGCAATCTTCCCATCTCAGCCTCCCAAAGTGCTGGCATTACAGGTCTAAGCCACCAAACCTGGCCTAAAGATTGTATTTCTAAGGGCTCAAGCAATCCTCCCACCTCATCCTCCCTCATAGCTGGGACTATACATGCATGCCACCACACCTGGATACTATTCCTAAGAATGAAACCTATTTCCTGAAGGAAACAGATATGCACAAATAGACATCAGAATGTTTATTACTGGGCTTCCTCTATAGAATGGAAAAAATAAACATAAACTAAATTTCTTGACCAGAGGAACTGTTAAATGAATTATGTATAAGAATAAAATGGAACACTATGCATTCATTACAAATTTCATTACCTTTGTGAATTAGAATGCAAATATCTGCAAGACAGGCAGCTGAAATTAGGAAAGAAGTGTTCATCCATGAAATTGGGCCTATTTCCTCAATTTCATGAATACCCTGTTTAGCACGGGTGAAGGCAGTAACCAAATGAATAATTCATATATTATAATCATGTTTGCCCATCTAAGCAAATAATACTTTTAAAGTAAGGTCTATTATCTTAATTTGGGAAATGCAAAAATAGCTGTTGAATTAAAACATGCCTCTAATATTTTAAATAATACGAAGCATAGTTTATGTTTTCTTTACTGGATATTACCCAGCTTTCTTTTAATTTTAGTTCTGACTGACACACAACCTCATCCCTATGCCTTTTGGTATTTTGGTTTATCTTCTCCACACACCCATTCTGAATAACCAGAAGGTGACTATGCTATATCTTCAAATTGGATATTTGCTTGGAGCACTCTAGTTTAACGGTCAAGTGGTTGGACTTGGGAACCTAGTTGTCTGGGTTTGAAGTCCAGTTCTGCAATTTAATAGTTTTATGACCTTCAGTGATTAACTCTGTAGCCTCTGTACCTGTTTTCCTCATCTGTGAAAAAGGACAATAATAGCTCCAACCTAATAGGGTTATTGTGATGATTACAATATATGTAACTGTACATACTGTACAATACATACAGTAATGAGCTAATACATATGAATATTGTCTGACACATAGCAAGTGAATATTAGTTTACTATTATAATTTACTATTGCTGTTACTATCATTTCAAGGTATATACAAAGCCAAAGAATAAACAAAGCACATTTCCTTGGCATATTAAAATTTTAACTTGGGGAAATAAAAATTTTATAATTGGAAATATTATGGAATCAAGTGTAAAATTCACTGCAACACTCAAAAGCTAAAACACAATGCCTGGACTGTCCTTTCCTTCCTTCTCCTTGGGACTTTTCAGGCAGAAGCTCTGGGTCACCTGTTCAGTCACCGCATGGGCTGCTTCGTTGGGATCATGGCACTGATTGACAAAGTCACAAATCTCTTGACTATTCACCATGAAGTTAATTCCATCTGTGGTGAGGACCAGGAAGCTGTCATCAGCATGATGTAACTGCAATCAGAACCAAATGCCTATGATTATAAGCTAGACTCTGCCTTAGCACAATCTCGCTAATTCAAAGATTTTACCTGTTTTGCTAAGCGGTCATCTGTGTAACAGCTTGTAAGCTGATATGGTTTGGCTGTGTCCCCACCCAAATCTCATATTGAATTATAGCTACCATAATTCCCATGTGTTGTGGGAGGGACCTGGTAGGAGGTAACTGAATCATGGCGGTGGGTCTTTCCCATGCCGTTTTCATAATAGTGAAGTCTCACAAGATCTGATGGTTTTATAAAGGGTAGTTCCCCTGCACATGCTCTCTTGCCTGCCACCATATAAGACATGACTTTGCTCCTCTTTCACCTTCCACCATGATTGTGTGGCCTCTCCAGCCATGTGGAACTGTGAGCCCATTAAACCTCTTTCCTTTATAAATTACCCAGTCTCAAGTATATCTTTATTAGCAGTGTGAGAACAGACCAATACATAGGCAAACAGTGAAAATGTAAAGCCTACCTGTTGGGCAAAAGTAGTAACATTTAGAATTAACCAGCAAGGATAAAGCTAATATTTAGTTAGTAAAATATAAATAGTAGTTAAAAGTAAAGAGTAAAGAAGTTGCAATCCTCTGAAATCCCATCACCAGAGGTAATCACGCCTAACAATTTAGCAAACACCCTTCAAGATATCTTGATTTAATTCCATAATTTAACATCACAAAGGGAGAATCCAGATAGCCCAATGGTGAGAGGTAGCTCAATGTAATGGTTATGAGTGCTGTCTCTAAGAGCAGGCTTCTAGGATTTGAATCCTGCCTCTATTATCTGGCTGGGTGAGCAGAGGTGCATTGACCTCTGTATGCTTTAGATTTTCCTTGAAAAATGGGGATAGTAGTACTTATTTTGAACAGAGCCCAGCACATAGTAAACTCTGCCTAAGTATCTGTTAGATAAAATGAAGTGGGATATCTATAACACACGATGTGGGATATCTATAGACTTGAAACCCTTCATGCAATTAATTAACAAGTGTTTGCTGCCAGTTTTGGAAGCCTACACTATACTGTGCTAGAGACTATAGTGGCTCAGGAGTTTTAGAGAACTGTCAGCTCATGGACTGGGTGTGTGTTGGGGGGCAGTTCAGGACAATGAAGACACTGATTAGTAGCATGCAAAGGATGCCACAGAAGTAGAGGTGGGCGATTATTTGGCTTGGTGGAAAAGGGAAGTTGGGGCAGCTTCCAAGTGGAGGTGATGCTGGCTGATTGGGTGCAGGTGATGCTGATTGATTGGGTGCAGGTGATGCTGGCTGGGTGCAGGTGTTGCTGGCTGATTGGGTGCAGGTGATGCTGATTGGGTGCAGGTGATGCTGGCTGAATGGGTGCAGGTGATGCTGATTGGGTGCAGGTGATGCTGATTGACTGCGTGCAGGTGATGCTAGCTGATTGGGTGCAGGTGATGCTGGCTGACTGGGTGCAGGTGATGTTGGCTGATTGGGTGCAGGTGATGCTGATTGGGTGCAGGTGATGCTGGCTGATTGGGTGCAGGTGATGCTGGCTGATTGGGTGCAGGTGTTAGCTGATTGGGTGCAGGTGATGCTGATTGGGTGCAGGTGATGCTGGCTGACTGGATGCAAGTGATGCTGGCCGATTGGGTGCAGGTGATGCTGGATGACTGGGTGCAGGTGATGCTAGATGACTGGGTGCAGGCGATGTTGGCTGATTGGGTGCAGGTGATGTTGGCTGATTGGGTGCAGGTGATGCTGGCTGTGTGCAGGTGATGCTGATTGGGTGCAGGTGGTGCTGGTTGACTGGGTGCAGGTGCTGCTGATTGGGTGCAGGTGATGCTGATTGGATGCAGGTGATGCTGATTGGGTGCAGGTGATGCTGGTTGATTGGGTGCAGGTGATGCTGGCTGACTGGATGCAGGTGATGCTGATTGGGTGCAGGTGATGCTGATTGGATGCAGGTGATGCTGATTGGGTGCAGGTGATGCTGGCTGATTGGGTGCGGGTGATGCTGGCTGATTGGGTGCAGATGATGCTGGCTGATTGGGTGCAAGTGATGCTGATTGATTGGGTGCAGGTGATGCTGGCTGATTGGGTGCAGATGATGCTGGCTGATTGGGTGTGGGTGATGCTGGCTGATTGGGTGCAGGTGATGCTGGCTGACTGGGTGCAGGTGATGCTGATTGCTTGGGTGCAGGTGATGCTGGCTGATTGGATGCAGGTGATGCTGATTGTGTGCAGGTGATGCTGGATGACTGGGTGCAGGTGATGCTGCATGATTGAGTGCAGGTGATGCTGGCTGATTGGGTGCAGGTGAGGAAGAACAGCAGGACCATTTCACCAGGAGAATTCCATAGCTGGGGTGAAACAAAAACCTAACACTTCAAACTGAGGGAAGCCAAAATATTTCTCCCCGAAATATTGAGGATTGCTAAAGTCAAGTCACTGAAAAGGCAGGGGTACACTTCCTCAGCCTCTACTTGCCTGGTGGCAGGACATCAGTCCTTCTTTACTGGAGACAGCACTTGTTTATTGGCCCAGAGAAGGAACCAGCAGGCACCAGAGAAATCTGGGAACAGGTTTTACTATCTCTCCACATTTTCCTGACTTTTAAAAGACTGAAACTGTTCTCTTCTTTATCTTGTCACTATGCAGGATCTATGGCTATTTAAATACAATTTAAGCAAAGCCCCTAAGCCACTGCCTTGGAAGAGAAATACTTTTAACTGAGGCCTTTCCCGTACAATGGGTTCAGCACGTGCAAATGTCTGCTTGTTTGTTTGTTGTTGTTGTAGTTAATCTGACTTTTATTTTCAAGAAAGTGTCTCAACTAAGAACCTAAAAAGGGGGAAAAAGAGAATTGTTTTGTCCTCTACAATAAATTAGGCCAGAATAGTAGCATCTTATTTTACCTGAAAAGTTTTTTTATCCTTCCATAAATTACTCCCTTTTAAAAATCATTTTGGCTTCAGTTAAGGCTTCCAAGAAAGGTGCAGCAGAGACAATCCTACATTCACTCTCCGCAGGTTTATCAAGTGTTTGCAGGTCCTTTCTTACCTTAATCCTCTTAGTTTCAGGTTCTGCTATGACACCACTGGTCTTAAGGTCCAAATCTCCAATACTTCTTGTCATTGCAAGCCTGCCATTTACGTGAGGCTGCCCCAAACTATTCCAAGCTACAAAACCACCACATTTCTTGATCCTGTTAAAAGTTAAATGACAATGGTGTGATATGTAGAAAACCCTTTGGGAGGCCAAGGAGGGCAGATCACGAGGTCAGGAGATCGAGACCATCCTGGCTAACACGGTGAAACCCCGTCTCTACTAAAAAACAAAAAATTAGCCGAGCGTGTTGGCAGGCGCCTGTAGTCCCAGCTACTCAGGAGGCTGAAGCAGGAGAATGGTGTGAACCCGGGAGGTGGAGCTTGCAGTGAGCCAAGATTGCGCCACTGCACTCCAGCCTGGGCGACAGAGTGAGACTCTGTCTCAAAAAAACAAAAAGAAAACCAAGTCACTGTTAAACTTAACCATGACATCAGTTTAAAAACTATTATGAACTAAAAACATCATCCACATAGAATGATATGATGGATCAGTGGTGGTAGTACCTTTCTTTTTCATCTTTTCTTTCTGGAGTATGGTCAATGGTCAGCTTCATGGGTTTTCCTTTTCTACACAAAATAGCCCGGCTGTCCCCAACACTGGCTACAACCAGTTCAATACCATCTCGCAATAGGGCTACTGTTGCAGTAGTCCCAGAGGTCAGAAGAGTTGCTACAAGTATTATGAAAAAAAGAGTACAAGTTAGTGACAGTCAAATGATTGGATATGGAATTTTTATTACAAAATAAAACACAAGCATGATAAACTAATGCTGGAATATATCATTCTAATTTAACTAGAGCTAAGCAAATAAAATGCAAATGAACTATGTAAGTAACAGCATGCAGAGAAACAAGTATTTAATTCAGTAACAAGTCTCCATGCAAACGGAAAGGTTGCTAACCTTATTTGGCAAACACTGCATCACTATCTACAAATGGCCTCTATTCATATCAAGTAGAGCTGACTTGAACTTATAACAACACCTTCATGGATATCTGGTGTCCAGACTGAAAGTATTAAAATTTAATTAGGTTGGCTATGATGGTGGGATGACTTAGGTCTACTTGAGCCCATGGAGGCAAGCTGACTTTTCTATAGTCTATGGATTTAGAAGGTTTTCTCTTCCATTTTTCACTCCTATGCTGTGAACATATTATCAGTTAGTAGGCTAAGTGAGACATGCCAAGGGTATACCATTTGCATATTCTACCCCTGTATGCTTCTAAAACTGTTTTAATTTTATAAATGTTCACCAAAAAAATCCTAAAATGGTTACAGGCTCACATTCTTTTCTGTTTATCTTTGTCCTCCCTAGACGTGAAACAAAGTTACAACCATCATTACAGGAGCAGAAAATCTGGGGGAGGGGAGGTGGAGAATGAAGTTCATTCTAGCTTCTCATAAACTTGGTGTAGTTAACACTCCTAACTCCAGAAGGTTGTAATACAAAGAGGTAGTCTTCAAACGCAGGGCAGTACTGCCAGCTGCAACTCCTGGGGTCCTGTTTGGGCCCAGAGCATCCCACAAATATGAATTTTCTCTAATAACAAATAAAATTCATTGTTACTGGGCTTGAGGTCACCGTTTCCTCCATCCAACTCAGACTGCATTTCTGCATCTTCCTTTGATTTCCTCTAACAGTGTCTGCCCTAAGTTCTTTACCACTTGTTAAAAATTGTTAATTTGCATTGAGCCTTGTCAAAAGTGAGAATATTGTGAAATTATGGGCTAAAAAATAAAACAAAGTGGAAGAAATCGGAAAAGATAACTTATTTAAAGCAGGTATTGTCTTTAGTAACACTGTTAACTCTTTAAAACATTCCAAAGATGACTTCGATTTTAAAGGTACATTTAGGAAAAACGAAGTGCTACTAATTTGACTGATTAAGACTCAATCTTTCCAAGCTTTTTTTTTCTCCCCAAAAAGATAATTTTGAAAACTTCATCAGTAATGCATTGGAAGGAGATATATACATAAATAGATTTTTCCAATCAGTATATTAAAATGCCTGCTTTAATCAGAAAAGTAAGATGGAAAAGCATGAACAAACTCTACTTAATCTTTTATAGTCATGCTGAACTTTCTTGAGAAATAACATTTATAGTTGCACTATCTTTCCATTTTTCTCTTGATTTTGGAACTGTCGTGCCAATGTAATATTTCTGCAATGTTGAAAGATACATTTGTCCACCATATAACATAAATGTTTTAGCATAAGTATCAGTGATATTTATATTACAAATGTTAACTCGTAACTTTAAATTACCCAAACGACTATGAAACAGTGGAATCTTTACAGTTTGACTAACTATGATATTTCAAACGATTTAAAGAGCCAGATAAGGGAACACGGCATTTATTCAGATGCTACCTGTCCCGGGAATTTAATATTCCTTCCATTTGTTTAAACCATCTACAATAGTTTTCTTAAAAATGGTTTATTATTGGCCACAGTAAAAGAGTTAAAATTTCATAAGTAGAAGTTTAGTTATTTAGGCTTGTAATTTATGGCTCTGTCACCTAGGAATTTTAAGACTTTGAGTTTTTACCAACCCAACTTCACAGTTCCAAAATCCCAGGATTTATAGGAAAGGCTTCAAAACTAACTGTCAATTCTGATTTGCTAAGCATTTAAGAATGTAAATATTAAATCAGCATTCATTTTCATTTAACATTTAACATGGAAGTAAAAATTCTCACTTTTTGCCTAACAACAAAACTAGAAAACTAAGACATCTTTCAATAAGTTCTTAACACTCACTGGACAATTTCTACTGCAAGTCATCTCAACTAATGGGACAAAGAGATGTGGGAACCTTCCCGTAGTCCAGGATAGGAACCGCTGGACTCCTTCACCTGGGACAAAATTAAGCAGATCTCTCTTTCCACTGAAGCCCCGCATATAGTGTCCACGGGCTCCAGGTCTAGAGCTGCTGACCAGGCACAGTTCTCTGCCACAAATAACACGCACAGAGGCAAATACGAATTTCACCCAGGAATTGTGCTCAAACATTACAAACCTGCAACACAGGGGAGAGCAGAGAAAGAGCTGCAAAATAAGGGAAGGGTTTTTTATTTTGGTGAAAATTTAACTAGCAAATTATATAATATTCCAGGAGATGCCAAATCAATTATTCCAAAACTCAGTTTGTTCCAGTTGATGGTATTTTGTAGTTGAGCCTATTTTTTCATCACAGGGTAACACTTCTTTCTTAATTTTGTGGTTTCTAAGGTTGAAAAAACTATATAAAAAAGTATCTGTACCAAGACACATAAATGGTGACACAGACCTACATTTAACACACTCACAAAAACACTCACGCATATACACATTCACTGAAATAATTGGTCTTAAACACAGTAAATCACTACCTTTACTGAGTTACAAAAAATGCACTGTAAATTTGTTTGGTAGCAATATCAGAATTGTCTCAAGAATAGAAAGGTAAATCTACAGTTACAGCATGGAAGAATTTGTATCTGACAAGCAGGATGTAAACTACAGTATACCACCAAATTACTGGGACTTAAATATATATCAAGAAGGAATCAAAGCACCCGCTATACAAGATACATAGAGTAATGCATTTGTTAATGGTGCTTAATGCAGAGACTTAGTACCTATAAGGCATTTTTGAGTAGAATGATTAATTTAAATTCATTGCTTAAATAAAGGCTAGCGAGACGCATGTTTATAATTTTGTATAATTCACAAAATGGGTATTTCTGCAGCTCTCTCTTTCCCCCAGTGTTGCAGGCCGACACATCAAAAGAAAAATGATCAAGATTGTGAATGCCAACATAAAGAGCAAAAGCTATACTTTTCAAAGTATAATGACCCCTAGTAATTACTCAATTGTGTAAATAATACTATGTATAAACCAATACAGTTTCAATATTTATTAAAAATGGGTGTTCTAGACTCATGACTCATGAACACCAAAATCAAAGTAATGAGCTGAAGCAGTAGCAGCACGGTAAGAACATCTCATCAATGCTCTCTTTTTTTTTCTTTTGGCTGTCCCGGCATAGGGGATTCAAAAATGCTGTGTTTACAGCCCTGGTTCTTTTGTAGTTTAATTCTTCCATAAAGAGGTCACAGGATATGAAGAACATAAAAGTTTCTGGTGAGACTCATAATGCCATCAATGTCCCCCACTCTGAATGTCTGAGCAAGTCTTCTCTTTTTGTTCCATTTGTCCCTTTCGGAGCTTTGTTGCTTTCAAAGTTTAAGCAATCTGGAAACACTCTGAAGAGCTTATAGGAAATATAGAATTATAACCTAATTTTCTACCATCTAGTTTGTTCTAAGTGGCTATCTCTTTATAAACAACGGACTGGTGGGATATCATCCGGATTTACTGGCTGCTTTTATTAATTGTAAAAGTAGACATTACTGGTATAAATTGAATAAAAAAATTAAAAGATGGTGATGAAATTTGCTACTGATAACTAAGGACAGGTTGAAAATGCATTAACAAAAAAGCAATAAAAATAGCTGACAATTTCTTAAGGGCAAGGGAATCTTGTTCTTGCCATTTCTTGATAAGTGGCATTTTGATTTTATTCTTTTCAAAATATCCCCAGCTACAACAGTAAATTATTTTATTTTATTTTCTACTCAAACAATAAGCTTTTATTATATTTTACAGATCAGTCATCCAGGACATGCTGCGTCTGTGGTTGGCATCGTCTCATTTCTGAAAGGACTGAATGCACATAAAAGTCTCTTGCCCACGCTGAACTCACACATGCCGGGCAGAAAAGAGCTCTCACTAAGTGTAACTTGAGTGTGAACTTGCTCAGGCAACAGCAATGCCATTCAACAGTAAATATTTTAAATGTTAGTAAGATAATTTGAAGTTCTTTATGTAGCTGTAACAGCTTTGGAACTGAAGTTGAGAGGAGATAAGAATGTTTTAATTTCACTTAAGAAAGTTAATATGGTATTGATACAGGAGCTAGAAATAAATTATGTAGGCACATAGTGAGGGTAAAGGAGTCCGTGGCAAGGCTTCCCTTTTAACAAAAAGCAGCCTCCAAACCATTTCTTTTCTAACAAAGAGCAACCTGAAAAATTGAGCTGCAAACATAAATAAGCAAGCTGGAAGCTTGCACAGGTGAATGCCAGCAGCTGTGCCAATAGAAAAGTACTACCTGGGCTGGGCACAATGGCTCACGCCTGTAATCCCAGCACTTTGGGAGGCCAAGGCGGACAGATCACCCAAGGTCGGGAGTTAGAGACCAGCCTGACCAACATGGCAAAACCCCGCCTCTACTAAAAATACAAAAATTAGGTAGGCATGGTGGCAGGCGCCTATAATCCCAGGTACTTGGGAGGCTGAGGCAGGGGAATCACTTGAACCTGGGAGGTGGAGGTTGCAGTGAGCTGAAATTGCACCATTGCACTCTAGCCTGGGAGACTAGAGCAAAACTGTCTCAAAAAAAAAAAAAAAGAAAAAGAAAAGGGCTACCTGGGGCCAAGCATGTTCAATATGTTCCATCTTCCCTTTTCTTTGTCACCATGTGTAAAGAAATGGGCAACATGGCGCTGGCCAGGTAGAGAACCCATCTGCATAATAAAAGATTAGGGTGGGGGTGGCCAGATTCTTGAATGCTCTGCAAATTGCACACCTAGGCCTAATCAGTTTTTCGTGTGCTATGCAAATGGCACATCTGGTCCAACCAATCTTTCATGCCCTATGTAAATCAGACACTGCCTCCTCAAGTTCATCCATAAAGCCTCCTGCACTTCACCATGGACTAGAAAGCTGTTTGGGACCCCTCTTTTTGCAGGAGAGAGCTTTTCTCTTTCTTTCACCTATTAAGTCTCCACTCCTAACCTCACTCCTTGTGTGTCCTCGTCCTTGATTTCCTTGGTATGAGACAATGAAACTCAAGTATTACGCCAGACGAGCAATGCTGCTTCAGTAGGACTGAGCGGCACGCCTCTCTTTTATACCTAAAATCTCACCATTAGTAATTCACTTCTATGGTTTAAGCCTTTTTCAGGTGTCTGCTAACTAAAATTCAAATCCACCCAGGAGTGACAGCTCATTAAAATGCAAACATTTTATAATAATTTGATTAAATCAGCTATATGATAATCAAAGAAAAAATTACAGTAACTTCAGTGAGAAAGAGTCAGCGTGGAGATCTCAGTTCAATCCAAATAATTATTGAGTACCTGCCAGGTTCTATGCAGGGTGCTGCACACTGGAGATTCAAAAATGAATAAGCCACAGTCCTTCACCTCACAGGAAGGGTTCAAGAAGAGGGGAAAGGGGTTAATACTAAAAGAGAAAAGATGAAAGAAACTGGAGAGGGTAAACTGCACTTACTACAAAATTTTGTTTCACTGGCACTGGTCCTATCTATATACATAGGCCGAAAAGAATATTATCCACTCTTATAATACTGATACTGCTTCAGTTCTTGCTAAAAACTAAAGTTTTAAACTTAAATAATAACTTTGAAATTTAAAATGACATTTTAAAAAATCCATAAACTGAACAGTTACACAACATATGGCATTCTATCTTTAGTGGCTTTAATGTATTTGATAAAATAGGCCCTAAATATCAAGACAATTTTTGCCATCTTTGAAGGCTCTGGCAACTTATCAAGAATAAAATTTTTAAATGTTCTCAAAACACTAATTTTTAAAAAACACAGACCGATAAGAATATATACAAAATAAGATTTTAATAACAAATAACAAATTTAATAACAAAATAAGATTTAATAACAATATTATAATAGACCTTTTCTTTTAGTACACACTAAGAGCATCATCTTGTCTTGCTCCATTATACTTTCAAACAAATTACCATTATATGAAAAATACATTTTAAAATATCTTAAGAATGTTCTGGGATCATTACTTCAAAGCATATGATAGAGGAATTAAATTAAATAATGCATTTTAATTTCTTTATTACAAATGAATTGATTTTAGTAAGAATAAAAAATATGGAACTCTTCATGCATTTGTGTGCCATCCTTGCACAAGGACCATGCTGATCTCTGTATCATTCCAATTTTAGTGTATGTGCTGCTGAAGTTAGCATATGAATTACATTTTTGTGATTAATTTCTTTATACAACTGTTTAATGTTTTTGTGACAAAGGTATCTTTAGAAAGTTTCTTTTAAGATAGGCAAGTTAATTAAATTCTTTAAGTTCAAAATTCTGTTGAGTTATACTTCATTCAATAATAAAAGGAGTCCTGTCATATTTTACATCAAGTCAATCACCGATTGGTTTAAGCATCTACATTGACTAGATACTTTTAAAAGAGGCTGATGGCATTGAGAAGGCCAATGTTTTTGGTTGGTGGTCACATGCCTGGGATAAATTTGGACATTCTCATCCAAAAACCTTGCCCAGTAAGCTGCAGCTATTTACAGAACAGCTGGGGCACACCACCGACACTACAGTCAACAAACATTGTGGTGTGAGACATAGCCAGATGCACAGCCAACTCAGTTACTATGAAATAAGAGCATACCAAAATTCAGGAAGTAATAAAAATAAAACCATAAGAAAATATTTCATTTCCTCTTTTCCTTCATGTGTTTTAACTATTTGGAACAAGAGCTAAGTCTTATGCATAAAGTTTACCTCTTTCAGCTTCTGTCTTCTTAAAGGTAAGGGTCCAGTTGAAAGGAAAAAGAAAAATTCCAAAGGAATGAAAGAAAAGAAAATGGGCCTAAATGATCTACAAACTGGAAAACATATCCCTGAAGAGAGTGGACTGTAATGCTTTCCTGAGGAGTGTGATAGTAAGGTTCTCAAAAAAAGCTCAGGAAAAAATCTCAAGATGGTAAATAGAGCCATCGCAGAGTTACCTTCTCCTCTCCTCATGAGAGAAGAGAGATAATGCTGGTGGTCAGGAAAATCCCAGCCCTAACTCTGAACTGACCTTTACCACTCTAATCTTCAGTTCCTTCGCTGTGAAATGCAAACAATCTCTATCCTTATGTATTCCAACTGAAGACTGTGCAAATGACATTTCTGTGGTGCACTTGGTTTCTTTCTTTTTTTTAAGAAAAGGATGAACCAAATACAGATCAAGATTATTGCATGATTCATTTTCAAATCATTTACAAGGTTACATGCACACATTCATTTGGCTGGTACAGAAATTTTCAGGGTTAACTTTAACAGCAAAAGATTTGGGACTAGCTAACTAGAAAACGTTTGCTGAATTTTCGTGAAATGGTTTTGATAAATTTAGTCAAAACCAGAAACATTTCACTTTCAAAATTTAAGGACATACAGTACACAAAATTTTAAATTCAGCTAGCATGACCTTATGCTGAAAATATCACTAGTTACCAGAGAAAAGCTGCAAGATTGAGCTTTTTAAGAAGTGACAGAAAAATATTTTCCTTCTAGTTATACAAATTAGTGCATATTAACCATTGTCTTTTTCTATTTAGGACCTATTTGCAATTTTTTTCTTGTTGGACAATGACTGTCCTCGCTAGATGTGATTACCCTGTAGTGTATTTCAGCACTTGGTCACCAGATCCATCTAAAAAAAAAACCAAAAACCCAAAACAAAACTCATAGTATGGACATTTTGTCCATAAAATAAGCAAACAGATTAAACATTTTTAAAATCTTTTAAAAACTAAAGTACAACATCAGAACTGTTTCGGGGCTTCTCTTTCTGAAAAATTCTCCAATATATTTCATTTAAAAGTGAGGTATTAACATTAATTGGAGTTCCCAACAGCATTTAATGTGATTCTTCATATAAACTCATTTCTACATAAATCCTTACAAACAATTGTCCATTAAAATCCCCTCCCCCAAAGGACTTAAAGTGTTTCCTTTTTACTCCTCCCCCACCCCATGTACTCCCTAGGATCCAAGGAATGTGATAGTTTTACATACCATCAGCAGACAGGCGGGCATGACTCGAAAAGGCTTTATCTATTTCTAGAAAAGCCAAGGTCAACAGAGTTTCCAAGTTCTTCTCCTTAGGAAGCAAATCCCTTTGTGGGGAGGAAAAAAAGAGCCTTAAACAATCATTTTACAATAGGTTTTTCTCCTCACTGTTACTCTAGCTAGCAGTCATTCCACACAACGGGCCTCAGGATTTTCCTGTCAAATGCTGAAGACCTACTGGCTAAGGAATACCTATTGAGAATCCACAAAGTATCAGGCACTGTGATAAGCTTTTAAGGGCACAACAATGAAAGTCCAAGTCCTTGTCCTTGAAGAATTGATCCTCACTACCACAACCCTGAGAGGTCGAGAGTTCCTTCCCATTGTGAGTTCTTTCGTGGAATGCGGTATACACAGGAAGTCAAGAAATGGTCACTGGGAAGTCAAAAATAGTCACATGGTCGTAACTCCATCACATGTTCTCCCTCTTTCAATTTTAGCAGTAATGTGATCCTCAAAAATGCATTAATACTAGTTGAAGTAAATAAACGGAAGAGCTCCAAAATGCCTGCATTAAATGCATTTTTCCACACTAATGCCAATCATCCAAAGCTATTTTCAACAAGTCAGGTATTCAAAGCTATTCACACCACTTGAAAGAGTAATTACCATTTACTGAAGCACTTATCTGTCCTACACTGATGGGAGTAAATGCTTCTCATAGGTTATCTCATGTACATTATGCCACTTCACTTAAAATGATCACAAATTAAGTGCTATAGATTTTGGTTAATGCTTTCCCCAGGGGAGTTGTTAAAACATGCATTTCTGAAATTGTGATAACCATAAGTAATAAATGGCACACTTAAACTACTGCTCATTCGTGAAGCAGCAGCATGCAACCACTCAAGTAACTATGTTTACGCTGGAAGCCTCAGCCAAAGGGTGAAAGTTTAAGTAGGAAGTATAGGAACTGCAAAGTCAGGAGTGAAAGTCATTGTACATACATAATACATTTCTCCATGTGGGTATGACAGAAATCAGCTGCTGCAGGTCCACCGTGTCCATCATACACTGCAAAGTACAGGACCTCATCTGTCAGCTGAGCGAAGTCAAACCGATCTTCATTCTCTTTCCGTTTGCCAATCTGTGAGGCGCACCCCACATTTTCCAAGCTGATTTTGGGAATTGGCTTGCCATACTTAATGCTGGGTGGCAGCAGAATTGGCTCATCAATGCGGTTATCCCAGATCCCAAAATTGTCCCAGGTAGCTGGACTCCCACTACCATCTGGGTCAAACCGAGAACACCTAGGCTCTGAAGTGGAGCTGTGGCACGTGGGTGTCACCCGCCTGTCGTCCTGCAGCAGGCGGGAGCTTAGCAGCACTCTCCTTCTCACCTGGTTCCCACCACTTCTGACCAAAGTAATTAAGGCAGCTGTTGACATAACTCAGCTCCAAAGGACTCAGTGATGAGGGAAAGGTCAATGGAACAATAATGGAATGTCTTCAAGAAAAATGATGCAAGTCACAGGGGACAGAGGGAGAGAGGGGCAGAGGAGGAGAGGGAGAGAGACAGAGAGAGAGAGACCATCAGAAATTTTGAATATAACTGATATGTCATCAAATATTACCAAAAATGAAGCTCATAAAGGATTTGACAGAAAATACATATATTTATGTTATATATTGGGTAGGCATCCAGTAGCCTGCTTCTAAGAACAGTGGATCAAAAATGAATCGATTTTCCTACCGCATTCACAGCATTTAAATTCTATAAAAATTTAACAGTGTGCACATACACAGAACATGTATCTCTTAAACTTGAACCTGCAATCACTTGTTAAAATGCATGTTCTGACCCAGTGGCTATGGGGTGGAGTCACTCTGCATTTCTAACCAACACCCTGGTGATACAGAAGCTGCTGGTCCCCAAGTTACACTTCTAGTAGCAAGAACACAGAATACAGGTATAAATAAATATACTTCCCTTCATTAACTCTATTGCTTTAAAGAAAAGGTAGGGATAAATATTAACAATAGCAACAAAGTCTCTTCAGGAAAAAATAACAGGCTAATAGAATACTTAAAATAGTTCTGTTTCCAAAGAATGGCCAAGTTTTAACAAAAACATAATCTAGGATAAATCTAAGTTTTATTTTAACATTTCTTAACCTACTAAGCTTTACATACTATATTACTATGGTAAATATAAATTGGTGTGCAAACACCCCAGAGGCACAAAGATAAGCCAGTTTTGATGCTCCCCATCCTAGCAGACTCTCTCACTAGGAGGGTATGTGGGTATGATCTCAGGAACCTGGCAGCACTGCATTTGTGACAAGCAGCCCTGATTTCTGAACGAGTGATCTATATATTTACATTCACAGCTGCAGCTCTCCTTTCCCCAACCCTAACAACCCAACGACACTTGAGACTACACTTCTTTGAAACGATTACTTTACACCCCCATTTCTGGACTCCACCCTGAAACTCAATCCTAAAACCTCTCTTGGCATTACAGGGTGTTACCCAGGGGAACTCCTACCCCACTGCAGGTAGAGCTGTTTCTGGGAATTTTCCACACAAATAAAAAATTTGTCTCCATAGGATTTTGTTCTATTACTTTATTCTTTTAAAATCAACTTGAAAAGATGGCAGAATACTAAGGTTTGATGATGTTGGTGGATGGTCTACAGATAGTATATTATTCTCAATCTTATGTTTAAATTATTTCACAATAAAAAATGAACTTGAAAAAATGTATCTTTCCAAAAGGTATAAACATACACAAATGAAACCCAGCTTGAGTGCAGTTATGAGAAAATGCACTACAGATTTCAAACAATTACTTTCCAATGAATTTTTGGAAATCAGTCTAGCTATGTATAGGGAAGGCCATTACTTCTTTCGGTGGGTAAAACAGTCAAAAGAAAGAATGAGGTTCCAAAGAACATCCTTAGGTGTTTATTTGTTTTAATTTCTTGTAGATATGGGTTCTCACTTTGTTGCCCAGTCTGCTCTTGAACTCCTGGCTTCAAGTGATCCTCCCACCTCAGCCTCCCAAAGTATTGGAATTACAGGCATGCGCCACAGAGACTGGCCTCAATCTTTAGATATTTAAGCAATTAAAAAAAATATGAGCTCTGCTGTCACAGAATTTAGAATAAAGATGGCCACCAAAACAAGTAATGTATCATCAAAGACTTAGGAAGTCATCCCTTCTTGGCCTTTTGGCCAAGATCCTGCATAGAAGGCTGAAATTCATTTCTTCGTAAGACAACATTGTTGGGGGGTTGGAGAGTGGCAGAGACACAGCATCTCTGGTTATCAAAGAGAATTAACATGGCCGGACCCGGTGGCTCACACTTGTAATCCCAGCACTTTGAGAGGCCGAGGTAGGCAAATCACTTGAGGCCAAGAGTTGGAGACCAGTGGGCAACTTTGCAAAACCCTGTCTCCACTAAAAATACAAAAATTAGTCAGGCGTGGTTCCGCATGCCTGTAGTTCCAGCTACTAAGGGGGCTGAGGTGGGAGGACTGCTTGAGCCCAGGAGTTTGAGACTACCCTGGGCAACATGGTGAAACCCTGTCTCTACAAAAAGTACAAAAATGAGGTGGACAGATTGCTTGAGCCTGGGAGGCAGAGGCTGCAGTGAGCTAAGATCACACCACTGCACTCCAGCCTGAGCAATGGAGCAAGACATTGTCTATTTAAAAAAAGAGAGAGAGAGCGAGAGAGAGAAATAACACATTCCATTGCAAGAGATGTTTGTTCTTTTGCTTCTAATTGAGAGTTAGATTTTATTCAGCAACAATTATGGATTCAAGCCAGCAATGGTGTGTTAAAAAAAATTTAAAAACCCAATTATGTTAATTATAGGTGATGAATTGAGACTTCAAACTACAATACAATCTACCAGGTAATGGAAGTACTAATTATTTGGAGATAATTCCCAAAGCAGCTTTATATCATATAGAAAAAAAAAAGAACTTTAAAGAAATACAATTATTAGAAAATATTTGTATTTGAAGAGTTAACTTGAGATTAGCAAAATACTATTCTTTTGGCTTCGGTCTGAAAGTATATATGCCATATTCAGCCTTGAGCTACTTTGCAGTCATGCACCTACTTTAAATCAGAGTTCTGGAATTACAAATAAATAAATATTGAAGTTTTTCTGCAACTGTTCTAGTATATTCTTGCCGTTTTATCTCCTCTTTATCCTCCCCCCAATTTTTTTTTAAATAATAAAATAGAACTGCATTCTCACAGAGAACAAATATCCACTGGAAACATTTTTAAGAAATGAGATAAAATGCAAATTGAGCAGTTTCTGTAAGGCTAAAAACCTGCGTATTTTAAAATCAATCATCAACCTGGCATCCTTCCTCGTGTATTGTTTCTATAATCATCTCAGAAAGCAGGCAGTCATAGGAAACCACCTACTTTAAGGCATATTATTGGCAGAGATGAAATGTGACCCAGATATATAGCTAGTTTATAAAAAACAAACAAACAGGTCGGCATCGCTTAGGTAAACGAGATGTTACGAACTGGCTCCATGTCCTTTTCCATCTGCAATGTAACTAAATCATATCAATCCCCTCCATATTCCCTAAGAAACAATTCAAAGGCAGCTGGAGTTCCCAAAGTAAATAACAACTTTGAATTAAACCTGCACATTAAGAAAAGTTTCCTCCTCCAGAACTCCACAATTGGGATCTGCCATCATAGACCCCACAGCTCTGCCGATGCCCATGGGAATGACTATGCTTTGACCAGCAAGGCAAGGGGAGTAGAACTTGTGATGTGAAAAACAAAAACCTTAAGGAAAAAAAAAAAGCAATCAGTGTTCTCTAAACAAAAAGAGTGGAGAACAAACTAGCAAACACCTAAGGATTGTCTTTTGTCAGTTCAGCAATTAAAAATTGGGATGAGTTCATTATTCCACAAACTAAGAGAGAGAAGGAATCTTTTTAAGTAAGCAGGGGAGATTTAGGTCAATTTTTTGATCGGAAAACATGGCTAGTTTATTTTTATAAACCATTTTAACATTATATTCAATCTTTGGAAGTCAAGTCATCCAAAAGGAAAGCACTTTCTCTGGCAGGAAGGTGCACTGGATTTGAGTTAAACTGTTCTTGTATGTTAAAAGCAGGTCAAAAGGGCAGTTTAAGCACATGCCAAAATTATTCAGGAGTTCTAAAGTTCTGAAACCTGCTTAGATTTTATCCCTCTAGAAAAAATATTTTAAGAAAGCATTCCTATCTGCCCATTATGAAGTGGCATTTAGGTATCTACAACTTCCACAATGAGAACACAGCCCTTTTAAATATTCTTAAACCAAATATTTACCTATCGACCTTTTTAGAAAATCAATTAAGGCATCCCAGTAAATTCAAATAGTATGGAAATTTCCAGAATGTATTTCAGCTAATTGGGACCCCAATACCTTCTTTCTCAATACCCTGCTAGGAGGAAGGGAAAGAAAATTTACTGCTTTACCTGAGGGGAAAAAAGAAAACAACAATAAAAACTCCAAAGGACTCCCCTTAGGTTTAATGTGAATATGTCTATGTTCAGATGTGTGACTGGAGAAAAGTGTGAAATGTGAGCAGTGAAAAGTACTCAGTATTCTATTCCCATAGATATCTTTTAAGACACGTTAGTAAATATGCATACAAGCCACAGACTATATCCCAAACCTGTAACTTTATAATGCCTTTAAGAACTTTCCTTCACAGTCTATTATGTCACCAGCCACTCTCCTCTCTTCTTTCCTCGTCTCTAAGGATTGCAGTCAAGGAATTTGCCTGGGTGATCAGTAGTAATGACTAAGGTTGCAAGAAAAAATTATTAGCGAGAACTCACTACTCAAATATTGTAACTAAGGTATTTTATCAGACACACACACACGCACGTGCTGCTCTTCTTCCTGCCACAGCTGCCTAACCAGAACACCACAAACCATGGCTGTTTTTCTTTTTCTTTCTGAGACAGGGTCTTGCTCTGTCGCCCAGGCTGGAGTGCAGTGGTGCGATCTCGGCTCACTGCAGCCTCGACCACTCAGGATCAAGAGATCCTCCCACCTCAGCCTCCGGGGCTGGGACCACAGGCACATGCCACCACGCCCGGGTAATTTTTGTATGTTTTGTAGAGCCGAGGTTTCGATGTGTTGCCCAGGCTGGTCTCGAACTCCTGGGCTCAAGCCCGCTTTGGCCTTCCAAAGTGCTGTGATCACAGGCGTGAGCCATTGCTACCGGTCTCATTGCTCTTTTTCATCGTCATTGTAATCTGTCACTTTAGTCGCTCATTCTGAAACCGAAGGACAGCCTCATTCCTCCGCCCTGACGGAAAGAACCGATGAGGCCTTGCTGCACGTTAGCAGTGGGAGGCTCAGAAAAGCCCGTGGAGCTTTTGAGACTGCAAATTCCCTGGCTATTTCCACCTGGAGCCTCTTTGTCACATCCGGTGAATTCCCTCATCTACAGAAAGCGGCTGCTGAAAAAGACATCACCAGCTACAACGCCTTGAGTACTACAGCGCTCCCTGCGCAAAGTAAAACCCAAGTCTTCGGATCAAAACCAGCCGGGGCTGTGCATCCTTCACGATGCCGGACCTCCTGAAAAGCTCACCTGGGTACAGCTCAGGATCCTGGCCTCGGCTCGCTGGCCCTGACAGGCGGGTGGTCAGGGTGACACACGGTGGGAAGAACACACGCCCGCCTGCCTGCGAAGCCTCGCAAATAGCTGGGCTCCCTCGGCACCTTCTGCCGCCAGGTCTCCGCCTCCCAACCTCCCTCTGGGCGTACCGAGCCCGTTGTCGCCACGTTTCCCTCGCCCGGGAGGCAACGCGGCACCCACCCCGCAGCATCCTCGCTTCCGGGGCCTCGGGCAAGGGTCTCCAGTCCCAGCCCACCCACCCTGCCCGCCTCGCGCCGCGCTGGCCCTCCAGCCTGCGGCCACATTCAAGGCCGAGCGCAGTCTGGGCTGGAAACCCGCCGCCCGGGGCGCAGGCAGCCCAGCTGGGCCCCGCCTCACCCCGACGAGCTGCTCACGACCTCCAAAGGGAAGAAAGCGACGCTCTGAGAACTCCGAGAGGCCGCCGGCCAAGCGCCGACTCGGGGGGCGGGGGAACGGAAACCGACGTCTCCCCTTCGACCTCCCGGGAAACCCTTCTCCGTTTACTCTCCATTCCGCGACCGCCAATAAAGAACAGCATACATGGTTAGCAGAAATAAATGAATTGCACTCTCTAGGCTCTTACCTCTGGATGGCTACGTCCCTGAAAAATGTTTTAATTAGCTAACGGAGGACGGGGGAGGAGCTTTCTTGGTCGGTAAATAAGAGTGCCTTCTCCGTCGTCTCGGATCTCCGAAGCAAGCAGTCAAAGCGGCCACTGCCTTGCCTGCTGGAAATTCTCGAAAATTTTTCTCCCGCAGTTGACCAGATGGAGAGGGAGAAGTCTGTTCCCGCTGACTGACAGCAGATCCGGCCAGTCCGCACTCGGCGAGACGGCTGGCCGGCCGCCCGGGCCCTCGATCGCAGCCAGTCACAGATGCCGATGGGAACGAGCCTCCCCGCGGCTGCTATTTGACTTCGCAGGCTTCCAGCTGCGCGGCGGAGCGACGTCACCCTGTGCCAGTGGTGGCTCGCGGCGGCGCCCCGCCCTCCCGAGGTTAGCTCCCCAGCCAAAGAGGGGGCGCGCTTGCGCGGTGGGTGGGGCCGCGAGACTTGGTACCTAGCCAGCGGGCGGAGCGCGGAGGGGGTTTCGCTTCGGGCTAAGGGACTGTAGTTGTGACAGCCAGGAAACCGAGAACGGAATGCCAATACTGCTTAGGCTTAGAGTTTGAAAGGCATCTGATTTCACTGCCATGTCTTTGAACAGCAGTGCACAGTGCAGTCTTCTTCGTGGCTGAACAGGTATCTTGTGATCTTTAGGGAATGTCTATTAATTCATTAAACAAGTATTTCTGTGTTTATTGAAGGACGTCTTGTATGCTATACATTTGCTAGGCACTGGGGATACGCCCCTAACACAGCTAGACACGATAGCTGCCCTCATAGAATTTTCAGTCTAACAAAGAAGAGGGAGAAAACCAACAAGTAAGCAAGCACATAGAATAGTAATTAATCATGTCAAGGAAAGAAATAGGCATGGTGTGGACACTGGAGGATAACTTCAGATAAGATTGTTATATGAGAACTTTATAAGATGGCATTTAAACCATCAGTCATTCAGCCATGGAACCAATAAAATGATGAATTGTTTTGGGCAGAGGGGACAGCAGACAAAGGTCTCTCGGTGAGACAGCCCGGCGTTTTGGAAGAACAGAAAGAAAGCCAAAGTGTCTCCAGCATATTGAGGGAGGGAAAGAACAGCATGATGTGAGAGAGATGAGGCAGACAGGGGCTTGGAGTTGGCATTACATTTTAAATTTAATGGGCTTCTATTGAGGCATTCGAAAAAAAGAAGTGAAAGGGTCTGGGTTTAGACTTTACATCACTTTGGTTAGTGTGCAAAGAACAGTTAAAATAAGCTATTGGGAAACTGATTAGGAGATGATGACAGATGAAATTTAAGGTGGAAGATGACTTTGATTAAACTATGACAATATCACTGAAGGGAGAGAAGAGCAGAGAGATTAGAGATTTTAAAGATAAATAATTAACTTGATTTGGCATTTTAGTTATTCTAGGCCAGGGACAACTGTTTTGAATCCAGTGCATTTAATAACCAGGTTAGAGAGTGACTCTCATATTGACGGCTCACAAATTATAGTAATAACCTTGAGTAATATTATGTTGAGTTGATGTCTTTTCATAGACTTCCTGGATTTTTTTTTCTTTTGTCTTTCTTTCTTTTTTTTTTTTTTTTTTTTTTTTTTTTGAGACAGGGTTTTACTCCTGCCCAGGCTGGAGTGCAGTGGCGCTATCTGAGCTCACTGAAACCTCTGCTTCCCAGGCTCAAGTGATCCTCCCACTTCAGCCTCCCAAGTAGCTGTGACTACAGGCACGCTCAACCATACACAGCTAATGTTTATATTTTTTGTAGAGATGGGGCTTCCCCATGTTGCCCAGGCTGGTCTTGAACTCCTGAACTCAAGCAATCCACCCACCTCAGCCTCCCAAAGTGCTGGGATTACAGGCATGAGCCACTGTACCTGGCGTGGAATTTAAAAAAATAATAATTTTATTGAAACATGTGTCTTAAAAAGTGCACATATCCTAAGTGTAGACAGCTCAATGAATTTTCACAGTCTGCAGACACCTTTGTATCCAGCACCCAGATCAAGGAACAAAACATTATTAATACCTGGGAACCCCATCAACCTGCCTTCCAGGCACTGCCTTCTTCCAAGGGGAGTTTCTATGCTGACTTTCAACAGCATAGGTAGTTTTGCCTATCTTTATACTTGTTATATATAAAGCCATAAAGTATGTGTTCTTTTGTTTCTGGCTACTTGGACTCAACATTACACTTGTGAGATTCTTCCATATTGTTGTATGCAGTTGTAGATCATTCATTTTGTTTTCCATTCTGTGGATATACTGTAATTTATGAATTCATTCTTCTGATGGACATTAGGGCAGTTTGCCATTTAGAGCCATTATAGATAGTGCTACTATGAGCATTCTACTACATATCTGTTGGTGATGGCTTTCATTTGATGGAGTATTTTGGTAGCTAAGTTACTATTAAGTTTTTAAAAATCTGCTCATCAATAATGTAGTATCATGTGTTGCAATATCTCAATCATTTGGATCAAAATTTGGTGCAGATAATGAGGACTTTGCTTTCACAAATGTGAAAAATTTTGGTAACAAGAAAGATGTGGGAAATTTTAAGCTTGGAAGTGTAAAATATTTTGAATTGTCCTGGAGTTTTGACCTTTTTTATAACCACTTGCATGCCCAGCATCTGAGAACATCATGACTTTGCTAAATCCTTGTACCAAAACAGACTGGAATCCAGAGTCACATGATAAGCAAAGCCACTTAGGCTGTTCTGAAGAATATCTTTGATACTAAAACAGTCCTTGAAATTGCCTTTGAAAATCACACCATTTCACACTCTACCACAGCTCATTAAAATTAAAGCCAGCAGTTTACTTCTTTTGAATTATATGCTTCTGGGTTTTGAATCTCTGAAGCATAGCTAAATACACCACAAAAATAATTCATGGCCAGCACAGTGGTTCATGCCTGTAATCCCAGCACTTTGAGAGGCCAAGGCTGCCAATCACTTGAGCTGGGAGTTCAAGACTAGCCTGAGCAACATGTCAAAACCATGGTCTCTACAAAAAAATACAAAAATGAGCCAGGCATGGTGGCGCATACCTGTGATCCCAGCTACTCGGGAGGCTGAGGTGGGAGGATCACCTGAGCCCAGGAGGTCCAGGCTGCAGTGAACCATGATCTCACCACTGTACTCTAGCCTAGGTGACAGCACTTTGGGAGGCCGAGGCGGGTGGATCACAAGGTTAGGAGATCAAGACCATCCTGGCTAACACGGTGAAACCCCGTCTCCACTAAAAATACAAAAAATTAGCCGGCGTGGTGGCGGGCGCCTGTAGTCCCAGCTACTTGGGAGGCTGAGGCAGGAGAATGGCGTGAACCCGGGAGGCGGAGCTTGCAGTGAGCCGAGATCGCGCCACTGCACTCCAGCCTGGGCGACAGAGCAAGACTCCGTCTCAAAAAAATAAAATAAAATGCACAATTATTGGTACACCAAACCCCCATGAAATGCAGTTTATCTGTATAAGAAACCTGTTCATGTACCCCAGAACCTAAAATAAAAGCTTTTAAAATGTGAATAATGTGTAAAGGAAATCATTATTTGGTATTTGACAAAAAATTAAAAAATGGAAAAGAATTCACCACAGAGGCTGACTTGGCATGACAGATCACTGCACAATGTACAAAATAATCAAGGGGATATGGCACTCCGTACATTCATTAAGTTGAGCTACTTCTTTATTCAGTTTATATTTTATTTTATTTACTTATTTTTTTTTAGAGACAGGGTCTCCCTGTGTTTCCCAGGCTGGATTGCAGGGACTATTCACAAATGTGATAATAGTGCACTATAGCCTTGAATTCCTGGGCTCAAATGATTCTCCCGCCTCACTGGAGTAGCTAGGACTACAGGCATGCACCATTGTGCCCAGCTCAGTTTATATTTTAAAGAATTGGACCATCTGCTGAAAACCACTGGCTATCAGAAAATTACACCCAAAACAATTCACAGGGCTTTGGGTGGGTGGGTGGTATGTATAATTGCAGAATTATTAATATTCACTAATGAATCATTTGTTGTTAAAATTAGATATGGACATTTTTGTATACTCAGAATCAGCAGTTTTCTAGAAAAGTATCTGTAGGCTACTCTTGGCCTCATGCCTAAAACATGGGCCTGGGATACTAGGATGTATTTTTTCCACAGTTCAGGCTGCTCTGTCCTGAATTGCTAGCCCAGATGTCCCTTCTCTGTGTTACCAAGATAATTGCCAAAACACTGACATAGAGAATTTTTAGGTCTGTTGCAGTGGCTCATCCCTGTAATCCCACCACTTTTGGAGGCCAAGGCAGGAAGACAGCTTGAGGCCAGGAATTCGAGACCAGCCTGGGCAAGATAGTGAGACCCCTGTTCTACAAAAAAAAAAAAAAAGATTAGCCAGACATGGTGATGTATGCCTGTAGTCCCAACTACTTGAGAGGCTGAGGTGGAAGGATTACTTGATCCCAGGCGTTTGGGGTTGCAGTGAGCTATGAACATGCCACTGCACTCCAGCCTGGGCAACAAAGCAAGACCTTGTCTCTTTAAAAAAAAAAAAGAAAAGAAAAGAGAGAGAGAGAATTTGAAATCTTGTCCTTGGATGCAATTAAACTTGCAGCAATGATTTTATTTTAAAATATGATTGTTGCTTCCCCCACCCTGTATAATTTACCTCTAAAAATTTGGAATAAATAAGCTTCAGGCCAGGCGCAGTGGCTCATGTCTGTAATCCCAGCACTCTGGGAGGCCGAGAAGGGTGGATCATTTGAGGTCAGGAGTTCGAGACCAGCCTGACCAACATGGCAAAATGCCGTCTCTACTAAAAATACAAAAATTAGCTGGGTGTGGTGGCGTGCACCTGTAATCCCAGCTACTCGGGAGGATGAGGCAGGAGAATCACTTGAACCTGGGAGGCAGAGGTTGCAGCGAGCCAAGATCATGCCACTGCGCTCCAGCCTGAACAAAAGAGCAAGATTCTGCCTCAAAAAAAAAAAAAAAAAACTTCGACCAGTACCAATGCTACAGAGATTTGAAATGTCTTTCCATTTCCACCTCCGATTATTTGACTATTATTCATTCTATTTGACCCTTATTCAAGCCTTTAATTGCATGTTTCCCATCAGAGCTGTTGTGAGAACAATCATATTTTGTAAATGTATTTTGTAAGAAAGGTTATACAAAATTGTGTTTTATTTAAATCACAAAATGCTCAAAATCAAGGAAGCGAAATATGATAGTCATTATTAGCATTGTTTGCTAAATGTTTACTGTTCTTCATCACCCAAGCCAGTAGTGCCAGGCGAAGGCAGGCATCTGTGACTTGTCCTGGTCAATGAATTGTGAGTGGAGGTGATGGGGTAATTTTTGAGTGAGCATTTCGTATCCCTGTGCAAGACCCTCCAAGGTTCACTCACCTCTGCCATTGCAACCAGCAATGTTCCAGAGAATGGCTGCTCCCTGAATGACTCCAAGGAAGAGAATTCCACTGCAAGCCTATGATAGCCATGGAACATGAACAAGAAACAAACCTTTGATGTAGTTTGTTACTGGATCTTAACCTAACTTCATGTATCCTATCTCAACTGATAGAAATATTAACCCTAACTTAAAATTAACTTAAAATTATTTACTTGAATTGTTCTTGGGGTAATTTTAGCCTAAGGGAAATTTTCATACATTTATTCAATAAATATTCATGAAGATCATACTATCTATCAGAAACTATGTTAGGCTGTGGACTCATGGCAATAAATGAACAATATAAACCTGGTCTCTGCTTTCATGAAAATTGGAAGGAAAATTTGAAGGTAGGCAACTATGTATGATGAATGCTACAAGTGAAAAAGTATAGTGTTATTCAGTGTGGTTGAATATTATACAAAGCTACCAAGAAACAATGGAGAAAGAGAAAACAAGTTTCTAATTCAAGAAGTATCTTGAAAAGATAGAAAACATTCCTTATATTTGAATCCGAAGCCCTTCAGGGCTAACATTGCTTTTGACCCATGTGGGTCCTCAAGCAAATACCCAATTTCCTGTGCCTCTGTTTCATTATCTGTAAAACAGCACTAAATATAACCTGCCCTGGCTAACCTATATAATCACTTCCAGAAATCAATTAGGTAGAGAACATAAGTGTCCCATAAAAATAAGCAGTGTTATTATTCTTTGAAGCTTTTACAGTGCATTGAAGAAGCCTATAAATATGTAGTTTAAAAAATTGAAAACCCTATAAAGCAACATACAAACACATTTAAATTAATGTTGTATCTTTCTAGCTGTGGGAAATGGTGCATAATAACACAGTGAAAATTATACCTTGGATAATCTAAAAGTCAATGTTTATTGCCAAGTAATATCTGCTAATGCGCTATTAGAATATGGCTGAAACAGGCCAAAAATTCCCTTGTAATCCCTATAAAGAATATTCAATAAATATTTTTCTTGTCAGTGGAATGAAGTGAATGTATAAATAATTAGTTTTGTCCAAGCTGAACAACAGAAAAATGCACGCAGTATTAAGAGAAACTGCCTTTGTCTTTGAAATCTGTAACACTGGAAGTGTGTATGCTTATATCCTATTGGAAATGATGTCCAGTTTTCTAAACTCATCGCTCTCTTCTGAGTCTCCTTTATATTAGAGTTTGGAATATCAAGGTAACATTGTAAGAGATGATGAAAAGCCTGTTTGTCACTGGTTGTCAAGCAACCAAATGCACGTACAAACACACCGCCTTATTTTGTACCGAGTGGGTGTAGGTGCTGAACTGCTTTTCTATTGGTCAGTTTCTCTTCCAATGGCAGAAAAGAAAGTATTATTTTTCCAGCTAATTGACATACTCTGGGAAAGGAACCAGCTATGTTTCTTTCCCTAGCAGTGTTAGATATAGACTTTAAACCAGGGCCAGTTTTATAAGTTATTGTGGCTTTGGGCAATCTAGATTTTATATGCAAAAATACTCCAGAAAAAGTTTAAAAATTCAAATTTTGTGCTATGAGAAATGTGCAAGAGAGATCTGTTTTCTTGAATATACTTTAATTAATATAAGGAAATAAGAATCCACAGTCATTCTGCCACAGTGAAACCAGGAAAGACCTTACCCAGGTCACAAATGACAGCAAAAATGATGTTTCCTAACCCCACCCTGTCTTCTCATAGACCATACGAAGTGATAGGAAGCTGGAATCTGGGAAGAAGGAGAATTACAGCAAAGGAAAAACGGGAAGGGGACCAAGAGAGGGACAGCAGGCTGCCCACATGAGGGACCTCTGTATGGCCTGAAATGTATTTCAATGTAAAGAGTAAAGGAAAAGATGCTCATTGCTCTTCCAGTAACAAACTGGATACCCCTGTATAATGCAAGGCTGTACTATTTTCTACCTGTTCTCTCTTTCCCTAGTTTCTCCCTCCTCCTAACGAATCCAACACCTTTTGATACTCTTTTCATCTTATGACATTATTTCACAAAGTTTCACTAGCTCCCCATTTCCAGTAGGGGAAAAAAAAATCCTAAACTTCTGAGGCTGGTATTCAAACTCTTCCATGGGCTGTTCCTGCCATGGAGCAGGTAGAATTCCTGCTTCTTTGGGTGACTTAAGTCTTTTTCTCTTAGGGACTTCAACTGATTGGTTGAGGGCTACCCCCATATGGAGGATAATCTTCCAGATGAGGTCTACTGATTTAAATATTAGTCCCATCTGAAAATACCTTCACAGCTAGACTGGCATTGGACAAAATATTAGAGAACCTCGGCCTAGCCAAATTGGCAAATAAAATTAACCATGACACTAACCCTTACAAATGCTTCCTCTGTCTAGGCACTGTTCTAAATGTTCTACATGTATCAACTCACTTAATCCTTACATTAGCCCTAAGAGAAGGGCCAGTGTTGTTATTGTCATCCCCATTTTACAGATGAGGCACAGAGAGAGAGGTTAAGTAACTTGCCTGAGGTCACACAGCTTGTAAATGATGGAGCCAGGATATGAATCCTTGCAGTTTGGCTCCACAGTTTATATTCCTAACTACTGTGCTATTTACCTCTCAAAAATAGAAAATGAAAGCTGAACTGATTGATAGTTTATATGTTCTTCCTATAAATGTCTTTGTTTGCCCACCATTAACCTCTATTCAATGTCAGTTTTTACAGAAACCTTACATATATCCACGCAATAGCCCTTTGATATAGATAGTACTATCCCAATGTTACAGATGAGGAAATTTTGAGGCACAAAGTTAATGACGTGCCTTAGGCCATACAGTGGAACAGCAGGGATTTTCACCTAGGCCCCTTAGTCTCCAAGGTATATCGTCTTACTACATTTCCTCTCTGTACATAGTTCAGCGAGGTTAAACATTTTAAGGATGTTCTGGGCCAGGCGTGGTGGCTCAGTTCTGCAATCCAAGTGCTTTGGGAGGCGGCTGAGGCAGTAGGATCACTTGAGCCCAGAACTTAGAGTGTAGGGAGCTATGGTCGCACCACTGCACTCCAACCTGAGTGGCAGAGTGAGACTCCCATCTCTTAAAAAAACAAACAAAAAAAAGATGTTCTGAATAATCTCTGTTTAAAACACATTAATTACTTTAACAAAAGTCAGATTTCTGTTTTGATACATTCCACAAATGAAATACACTGTACATAAAGGATAAGTTTCTGACCATTTCTAGTACCAGGAAAGAATCAAGTAATGACATGTTATTCAATAAGACTAGAACTTATATTAAGATTTTCTTTATTAATCTATTGTCTTTTTTTTTTGAGACTGAGTCTCACTCTATTCCCCAGGCTGGAGTGCGGTGGCATGATCTTGGCTCACTGCAACCTCTGCCTCCCGGGTTCAAGCCATTCTTAGGCCTCAGCCTCCTGAGTAGCTGAGATTACAAGCGTGCGCCACCACGCCTGGCTAATTTTTGTATTTTTAGTAGAGACGGGGTTTCACCATTTTGGACAGGCTGGTCTCAAACTCCCGACCTCAAGTGATCCGACTGCCTCAGCCTCCCCAAGTGCTGGGATTACAGGCATGAGCCACGACGCCTGGCCTATTTTCTAAAAGAAAGAGAATGAGGAAAGGTGAACTGTCTTAATAATTGACTTCAGTCATCATTTAGCAGCCACAGTGGGTCCTGTGCAATTTTATATATATATATATATATATATATATATATATATATATATATATATATATAAAAACATATTTGCCATCTTAAAGGAATTTACAAATCTTAGTTGTACAGGTACTGAACATGAAAAATTATGAGATTTATTTGAGAAAATTTGAAAATATAACAAAACTGCTGAAAATAGGAATGGATAGATCAGAGCTGAAAGAGATCATAGACATACTAGTGTAGTCATTATTGAGAAACTAACATAGTTGCTCCCAGGAGGTGAGATCCATTACATATTGTGGCATGGACAGCTAAATGTCTAATCTGATTTCCATTTTATGCTTCTTCCTTAGTAACAGAACCCCGATTCTTATGTAGGCACATTGCTGACCAAAATATAAGGTTGTTTTATAACCTTTCCTATAATTAGTCTGGCTGTACTGCTAACTTCAGTGCTGATAAGGTGTAAGTAGATATATGTGAACTTCCAGAAAGCCGCAACACAAGGATGCAGGCATACCTTTCTGTCACTGCTGTCCTGGAACTTAAGAATCATCTTGGATCATGAAGTGACATAGTCGAGATGGCAGAGCAGTGCCATCTTCCTTCCAGGGAGGAAGCTGGGTCTCTGGTAAACATGGGGAACCACAATAGCCCTGCACAGGGGTGAAAATATGTGATACCTTTTCTCATTCATGAGAAGGTTTGTGGCTGACACTCCTATAACAAAAGACAAACAAGAGAAAGGTGCAAAAAATTTATTTAATCAAAGTTTTTTGTGACATGAAAGGCTTCAGAAATGAAAGCCAAAGACCCAGAGAAAACTGTCTATTTGTATGTTTAGGTTCGATGAAAAATGGACTGCTGTGTAGAAATGCGATTGGACAAAAAGAGAAGGATCTAATGGTGATAGATTGAGTAGGGAAACCCAGCAAGGCCTATTTGTTCATTCTTCTGGGTCTCTGCATGGCATTCCTTCCTCTTGGGTATAGGACAGCACCCTTCTGGAATGAGGGTTGTATGACCTACTATCAGACAAGGTAGGTCAGAGAATATTTTTATGGCCAGCTCCTACACGGAAAGGCAAGGGAAAGTTAGAATAGTGTTTCTACATTTTATGGCTGGCTTTGGAGGAGAGGGATTCTTAGAAAAAAAAATTCTGGGCCAGGCGCCGTGGCTCACGCCTGTAATCCCAGCAGTTTGGGAGGCCGAGGTGGGCAGATCACGAGGTCAGGAGATCAAGACCACCCTGGCTAACAGGGTGAAACCCCATCTCTACTAAAATTACAAAAAATTAGCCAGGCATGATGGCAGGCGCCTGTAGTCCCAGCTACTCGGCAGGCTGAGGCAGGAGAATGGTGTGAACCTGGGAGGCGGAGATCGTGCACTGCACTCCAGCCTGGGCAACAGAGTGAGACTCTGTCTCAAAAAAAAAAAAAAAAAAAAAAGAAAAAAGAAAAAAAATTCTGATGGGGCCGATTTGGGTTTTATGCCCAATCTTTGAGCCATTTGAGGGTTAGCATTATAATTTGTCCAGTTGCAGGCCGGGTGTGGTGGCTCATGCTGATAATCCTAGCACTTGATGAGGGCCAAGGTGGGAGAATCACTTGAGGTCAGGAGTTCAAGACCAACCTGGGCAACATAGTAAGACCCTGTCTTTACCAAAAAAAATCGAGGTGGCCACTACAAGTGGCACATACCTGTAGTCCGGGGTAAGGAGGGGACATTGTTTGAGCCAGGAGTTCAAGGCTGCAGTAAGCCATAATCATGACACTGTACTCCAGCCAGGGTGACAGAGCAAGACCTTGTCTCAGGAAAAAAGAAAAAAAAAACAGGATTTTTTTTCTTCCTTTAGTTTAAAACAATACCAATTTATTATGTTCTTCTACAGCTGAGCTGGGGTTTAGCTGATCTGGGTTTAACTTAGCTGGGCAGCTCTGCATCTCACTGCAGGGCTGCAGGTTGGCCGAATCAACTTTGCCCTCCATGTCTCATTCTTCTTGAACAAGTACGATACCCGAGGCCTGTTCTTGTGATGATGGCAGAAGCATAAGAGACTGAGAGGAAGCACTCAAGGGTTTTTAACACCTAGACCTGGAACTGGGCACATTGTCATGATGTCTGCATGCCATTGGCCAAAAGGAGTCACATATCGTTATGGGATCTTTGGGGTGTCACTTTTTTCAGCAGAAACCTATCTGGCCAGTTGTGCCTTTGCCTGAGTTTGCTCAGGCCTGCTAGGTTCATTCCACTCACTTGGCCTGGTAGGCCGCTCTTGGCTCATGCTACTGGCCTGAATCCCATGCCTGCCAAGGGATACTGCGTGGAGCGGTGAAGGGTGTGTGGGCAAGCATGGTGTCCGACCACTGGACAGTCAGACATGCCCCTGCTGCAGCGGGCAGGGGCAGCACAGGTGCTGGCACCCTGCAAGTCTGTGGCTGGACCAGGTACACCACAAGCAGCTTCCACAGCTGGCACTGGGAACATGGTGGCACTCAGAAGCTTGAAGATGCCAGGAATTTCAGGGCCCCAAAGAGGGAATCACAGTCCTGGATCGGGGGGCTGCCAAGTCTGGGCTCCCCAAAGGGCTGCACCTCTTCTTTCCTTCTCTTTGCCCACAACGTTGTGAGCAAGGGGCATGTCTCAGTCCTGTTTGCATTACAACTCTTAGCCTCATTTGGTGGGTCCCAAGTTCTTGTCCTGCACCCAGGAAAAATGAGGTATGCAGACAAGTAGAGGGTGAGCAAGACAAAGAGGGGCTCTATTGACTGACAATAGCTCAGAGGAGACCGTGGAGTGGGTAGCTCCTGTCTGCAGCTGGTCGTCCTAATGTCTGCTGCTCTCAGCAGAGAGGAAGCCCTAGAGTGGGTAGCTCCTCTCTGCAGCTGGTTGTCCTGATGTTTGCATCCTGCTGCTGTTCATGGCACCCAGGCTGTAGGTGCCAAGGGGTGCATTCAGACCAGTGCCAACCTGCTTTCAGCATCCCCCCACTTCAGCTTCCCTCCTATGCTTGTCAGCACCCAAAATCTGGAGGGGGCCAAGGTAGCAGGGGGCTGGTGTGTCAACATTGCCCCGAGCGTGTGGACACCCAGCCTGGCTGTGACAGCACCCAGGTTTGGCCCTGACTTTGTTCTGAGATCAGAGTAGGCACTGACAGCAGAGAGAAGCCAGGCAGTGGGAGCAGGCATTTCTGAGCCTGTGAGGGCAAGGGTGGCCTTCCAGGGCCCCCAAGAGTGCAGGGATGCCTGGGTCCACAGCCCGTTTGGGTGGCTGCAGCTGCACTGGGGAGAGTGGGGCTCCTTCCTGCTCCTTGGAACAGGAGGCCTGGGTCTGCAGCCACAGTTTGGAGAGATGCAGCTGTGCCCAGGAGGGTGGGGCTCCTGCCTAGTCCCCAGGCCCTAAGAGCACAGGGATGCCCAGATCCATAGCTGTGGCTTGGGTGGTGACAGTCACACACAGGAAGCTCCTGCTCCAACTTGGAAGGATTGGGTCTCCCATTTGTCCTCAGCTCCCGCCAGGTTTATGCAGCATGCAGCCCCAGCTGTGCCTCCTTGCTGCAGCCGCTGCTGCAGATGGCACACTGCTGCCATCAATATGCAGTAGATTCAACATGACCATAAATCAATTTCAGTTCCTCCCATCAAGAGGTAGAGTTTTCTCCCCCTGCATGTATTCCTTGCCCCTTGAATATGAGCTTGTGACTTGCTTTGACCAATAGAATGTAGTAGAAGTGAAATTTATGGCTTGTAAGCCGTAGTCTAATAAGACCCTTGCAGTCCCATTCACACCCTCTTGGAATGCTACAGCCAAGACAGGAGGATCAGGAAGCCCAGCTCAGATTAACCTCTGTGTGAATGAAAGCCCACATGGACAGAGGCCCAAGCATCCCAATTTCCTAGCTCAGCTCTCAGCTGACCCAACAGCTGGATGTAACTTCATGAGTGATCCCAGGTAAGAGCAGCAAAAGAACCCCTATCCAACCTGCAGAATTGTTGCATAGTTGTTTTAAGCCACTAAATTTGGGGATGGTTTGGGATGCAGCAATAGATAAAGAATACAATATGGCTAAGCCCAAAATCAAGAGGCAGGGAAGTTTACTCTCCATATGACAAGTGTGTGGATGCATGGAGGGTGAAGGCTTGAGACCAACAATTCAATCCACTATCATGTATATCTGAATTTTAATTACTTTAATTCTAGATTGATCTTCAGTTGTTAGTGGCTCCTGACATATTAAATCTGTTTTCTAGCTCCCCAACCCATTCTATCTTTGTGATAGCTTATCTCCAGTTCTTTCCTTCCTGTGCTCACATACTATTCCTCCATCGAGAGGTGAATTCTATTTTTGTACTCTTGAATCTGAGCTGACTGTGACTGCTCTGACAAATAAAATACAGTGAAGTAATCCCTAACCTTTTAGAGGACTAGCAACTTCCACTCCCTGCCTCTTGGAAGTCTGGCACCATGTAAGAAGAACAACTATCCTGACTACTCTGCTATGAGAAAGCAAGTTTTTGGTACCTTATTAAAGACAAATGATCGCTTACACATATGTGTGGAGCCCTCATTAGAGAAAAGGAGTTAGGTTGGTGGGACCAAGGGAAAGCAAAAAGAGAAAGCCGATAAGCTGTAAGTCTGCCTTTCTTCATGGTCCGGGACACATAGCCCTTCTACACAAATAACTCACAATCATCCCGCACCCAGCTATCAGCAGACACCTGCAAGTTAGCTCACCGCAACCTTGGCATTATCAGTACTGCACAAAGCCCTCTTGAGCATACAGCATAAACACTAAGTCTATAAAATCTCCAGCAAGCCTTTGTTTCCTGATAGCCAGCTCTTCTTCTGATTCTACCACTTGCTCCCTGGCAACATATTTTTATACTTTCTCTAATAAATCTGCCTTTCTTTATCTACAACTGCCTTGGTAAATTATTTTACACACACGCCACTGGTCCAGATAGCCGTTGCTAACCCACAACATTATGTTTAGTGAGGTTCTATTCTGCATTTTCATTTTTTTAAGTGGTAGATATTGCATTTTGTTTATCTGTTCATCAGTTGATGGACATTTGGGTTATTTCCACTTCTTAGCTATTACAAATAATGCTGCTATAAACATTCTTATATAGGTGTTGGTGTGGCCACACGATTTCATGATTTTGGATATTTATCTACAAGTGGAATTGCTAGGCCAGATGGTAGCTACTACACATCTTTGCATCCCCTTTCCTAAAAGGATAAACTGGGGTTTTTTTGTTTTTTTATTTTTTGTAGAAATGGGGTCTTGCCGTTTTGCCCAGGCTGGTCTTGAACTCCTGGGCTCAAGCGATCCTCTCACCTTGGCCTCCCAAAGTGCTGAAATTACAGGCATGAGCTATCACACTCGGCCAAGGATATAAACAGAAACTGTTCAGTGTTAATGCAAACAATGTTGTATATTTATTCCTGGCTTCTATTCTGACTTTGTCTTCTACTCTCCCCAGGGTGGTTCTGCTCTGAGTCCCTTGGCCTCTGCAAGAGACAGCTACAGGCCAGGCGCAGCGGCTCACGCCTGTAATCCCAGCACTTTGGGAGGCCGAGGCGGGTGGATCACGAGGTCAGGAGTTCAAGACCGGCCTGGCCAACACGGTGAAACCCCGTCTCTACTAAAACTACAAAAATTACCTGGGCGTGGTGGCATGCACCTGTAATCCCAACTACTTGGGAGGCTGAGGCAGGAGAATCGCTTGAACCAGGGAGTCAGAGGCTGTAGTGAGACGAGATCGCCCCACTGCACTCCAGCCTGGTGACAGAGCAAGACTCCGTCTCAAAAAAAAAAAAAAAGAGACAGCTACAGGGACCATTCTCTTGCTTCATTCAGATCTCTGGTCACTGATAATTGTATTAGAGGGCTCTTCCCTGATCATTGCCTAAAACAGCTCCTTTTACCATCTATTCCCTTGCCAATCCCCATCTTCAGAGCACTTAGCACCTCAGATATTTACTCATTTATTTATGTCTGCCTTTCCTCAGACTAGCGGGAGGGGTGGATCTTCATTTTATAAATTATTGCATCCATAGCACCTACAGCAGAGCCCAAGTACTGAATACATATTGGTTAGATAAGTTAGTGAGTGAGTGAATGAATGAATTAAGAATCTTCGGTTTCCTTGAGTCCTCTACTGCATTGAGGACTGTCCAGTGGGAAATTATATCAAGTAAACATCATGCAAAGTTGGCTACTATCAGAAAATTCCAAGGGTCATTTGTGGGCCTAGCTGAGTCATGAAAGCAGAAAAGAAAATAGAATTTAAAATTAATCTCACTACTTCTGTTCTCACTTCATGGCATGGTTTCTGTTGCTTTCCTCTTTAGCTACTTAGGGAAAAATTAGGCCTTTTATATCCTTCAATGTTTTCTGTTGTCTACATTAAACATTGTGTGGCAGAGAACAGTGGGGCAAGTAAGAAACCTCACATCCACTGAAGCCTTAATTGTTGGTCCAAAAAGAGCTCACCTGATTTTACCTATGTGAGTGTTTTTAAAAATATATAAATTTTTTGAGACAGGGTCTCACTCTGGCTGGAGTGCAGTGGTGTGATCTCGGCTCACTGCAGCCTCAACCTCTCAAGGTCAAGTAATCCTCCCACCTCAGCTTCCCAAGTATCTGGGACCATGGGTGTGCACCACCATGCCTAGCAAAATTTCATATTTTATGGAGATGTGGTTCGCCATGTTGCCCAGGCTGGTCTCCTAGGCTCAAGCAATCCGCCTGCTTGGGCCTCCCAAAGTGCTGGGATTACAAGTGTGAGCTACGGCACCTGCCCTTTAAAAATTCTTAATCCCTAGAAGCACATGTCAACCTGGCTTTGCCCACCAGGTTTTCTTCATCTTACCACAGGTCTCCTTGATATGTTCTTAAAGTCCTTCCTTTCATCTCTCTTTCTTTCTTTGTCATTTGCCCCCACTTTTCTCATCTTCTGCCCCTATTCCATTTCAAGGGTTGATTTAGACAGCTACAATACTAGCAGATGTCTATATTTCTGTGTTACTTTCAATTTTCTGCCATGTAGTTTTTTGTTTGTTTTTTGAGATGGAGTCTCACTCTTGTTGCCCAGGCTGGAGTGCAATGGTGCGATCTTGGCTCACTGCAACCTCCGCCTCCTGGGTTCAAGCAATTCTCCTGCCTCAGCCTCCCAAGTAGCTGGGGTTACAGGCATGTGCCACCACGCCCGGCTACTTTTGTATTTTTAGTAGAGATGGAGTTTCACTATGTTGGTCAGGCTGGTCTTAAACTCCTGACCTCAAGAGATCTGCCCACCTCAGCCTCCCAAAGTCCTGGGATTACAGGCATGATCCATCACGCCTGGCCCGTATAGTTATTTCTTATCTCAGCTTAGTTATATTGAGCAAATGTTTGTGGACTAGGTGTTGTGCTGAACATTTGCTAGGCCTTAGAGATACTGACATTTTAAAACAATTTCTACTTATAGTATTTTGCAATGTTAGCAGTCTCCACTTTACTCCTTTATGTTGTGATTGTAAACTTCTTGCAACTTCTCTCTATGGGCTTAAAATAGCTTGTACATAGGTAGTGTTCATTAGTGTGGGAAATTAGTTGAACTGAATTCATAACCAATCTAGAATCTGCTTTCGAAATTTCTTCCACTCCTTGTCAATCCAATCTACATCTACCCAGGAGTATCCTGTAAGTAGTGGTGGCAGGTTTTTCTGTGGTGGGCAGTCTATCCAAACCTACCACAAAATCCGAGGAAGCTGAGAAGTCAAAGAAAGAGGTTGACAAATCCAATTTCTTAGAAGGAAACATTTAATAGAGACTTATGAACAGAAGCCATGTCTATGTCACCAGAGGCAGTGAAAAAAGATGGCAGATCCCCACACTATTACCTCCCAGACCCAGGGTTTATATACCAGAGGTGAGGGGCAGGCTGGCTTTGGAGGGAAGGAGTAGGAATTTTCCCTGAGGGCAGGATTGATGGTAAGTACATGCTCTCACACAAGGGACAATAGATGAACTGGACATCTCAGAGGCATTCCCAGAAGTGAGGTTAATCTGAAGTCAACATGGAGGATTACCGTCCAAGATGGAGTTACTCTGACCTCCCATCTAAGATGAAGTTGTTTTGACCTTCACATACTGTTCCACTTTTGACATTGAAGCTAAGAGGCAATTAGCCCAAGAAAATATTTGTAAATCATATATCTAATAAGGGGCTTGTATTCAGAACATATAAAGAACTTTTGCAACTCAGTAATGAAAAGACAAATAGCTCAATGAAAAAATGGCTGTACTGGTGACTGGACTCTGTGGCTCACGCCTGTAATCCCAACACTTTGGGAGGCCGAGGCATCAAGATCACTTGAGCCCGGGAGTTCGAGACCAGCCTGGGCAACACAGTGAGACTCCCTATCCCCAGAACCCAATCTCTACCAGAAAAAAAAAAAAATAGTCGGGTGTAGTGGCACATGCCTGTTGTCCTAGCTACTTGGAAGGCTGAAGTGGGAGGACTGCTTGAGCCTGGGAGGTTGAGGCTGCAGTGAGCTGTGATAATGCCATTGCACTCCAGCCTGGGTGACAGTCAGACCCTGTTTCTAAAAAAAAATTATTATTATTATTTTTTTTTTTTTTGAGAAGGAGTCTTGCTCTGTTGCCCAGGCTGGAGTGCAGTTGTGCCATCTCGGCTCACTGCAAGCTCCGCCTCCCAGGTTCATGCCATTCTCCTGCCTCAGCCTCCTGAGTAGCTGGGACTACAGGCGCCTGCCACCATGCCCAGCTAATTTTTTTGTATTTTTAGTAGAGACGGGGTTTCACCGTGTTAGCCAGGATGGTCTCAATCTCCTGACCTTGTGATCCACCCGCCTCGGCCTCCCAAAGTGCTGGGATTACAGGCGTGAGCCACTGCGCCCAGCCAAAAAAATTTTTTTAATGGGGAAGAATCTGAATAGATAGTTCTCCAAAGAAGATATACAAATTGCCAATAACCTAACAAAAAGATGCAACATCATTAGTCATTAGGGAAATGCAAATAAAAATTACAATGAGATACCACTTCACACCTAAAAGGATGGCTGTAATTTTTAAAAATGGACATTAACAAATTGTAGTATAATATGAAATACTTTTGGTCTTTGTCCCCAGTTCCTGTCACAGAGTACCTAAAACCTTTGGTATTTTTTATCTAGGGTGGGGCTCCGAGATAGCCTCAGGATGGGACTGGTCACTAGAAAGACCAAGTGATTAGAGGGTTGAAACTTTCAGCTCTACCCACCAAACTCTGGAAAACGTGTCGGGGGATTTTATAGCCCATTGGTCAGAAGTATAGGTGACAACCTACTTGGATTGGTGTCGGAAGTTGGGGGCAGTCTTGTGGGAAACAGCCTGTGGGATCTGATACTATCTAAAGATAGATAGTGTCAGAATTGAAATGAATTGAATTGAATTCTCTAGTGGACACCCAGTTGGTGTCCACTAGAGAAGTTGGTGTGTCAGGAAATACCTTTATGTATCTGGTCACAGAAGTGTTCTACGTTGAGTGTGTGAGTAGAGAGAAAAAACTGTTTGCTTTTCCTCTTCACATGAGTGTAGGCAAGGATGTGGAGAAATTCTCATATATTGCTGATGAGAATACAAAATGGTACAGCCACTGTGGAAAACCGTTTGGCAATATACAAAACATTAAACATAGAGTTACTATTCGACCCATCTGTTCCTAGGTATATACCCAAGTGAAATTAAAACAAATACACACCTCTGTAAAACCATGTACACTTGGCCCTCTACGTCCATGAAGTCCACATCCTTGCATTCAACCATGGATCAAAAATATTTAGGGGAAAAAGATAAAAAATAATAATATCCTGAAAGCTGATGGGGCATTAAAAAATAATACAATAAACAGTAATAAACATTAAAAATACAATATACAACTATTTACATAGTATTTACATTGTATGAGGTATTATAAGTAATCTAGAGATGATTTACAGTGGACCAAAGGATGTGTGTAGTTTATATGCAAATACTAAGGCACTTGAGTATCCTTGGATTTTAGTATCCATGGTGGTCCTAGAACCAGTTCCCCACAGATACCAAGAGACAACTGGACATGAATGTACATAGCAGATTATCCGTAATGGCCAAAAACTGCAAACAACCCAAATGTCTGTCAACCAATGAATGGATAAAGAAAATGTGATACAGTCATAGGATGGAACATTATTCAGCAATAAAAAGGAATAAAAGGCCAGGTACAGTGGCCCACGCCTGTAATCCCAGCACTTTGGGAGGCTTACGCAGGCGGATCACTTGAGGTCAGGAGTTCGAGACCAGCCTGGCCAACATGGTGAAACCCTATCTCTACTAAAAATAGAAAAATTAGCTGGGCGTGGTGGCACATGCCTACTTGCGAGGCTGAGGCAGGAGAATGGCTTGAACCCAGGAGGTGGAGGTTGCAGTGAGCCAAGATTGCAACATTGCACTTCAGCCTGGATGACAGAGTGAAACTCCAGCTCATCAAAAAAAAAAAAAAAAAGAAAAAAAAGAAAGAAAAAAGGAATAAGGTACTGATGCATGCTATGACATGGAAGAACCTTGTAACATTATGCTAAGTAAAAGAAACAAGTTTCAAAAGGCCACATACTGTGCCCTTCCATTTATATGAAATGCTCAGAATAGGAAAATCTGTAGACACAGGAAGTAGATTCATGGTTGTCTAGGCTGAGGAGTCTGGGAGTTTGGGGAGAAATAGGGAGTAAATATTCATGGATACTGGATTTGGGGGGAGTGATGAAAATGTTCTAAAATTGATTGTGGTGACAGTTGCACAACCCTGTGAATGTATTTTAAACTATTGAATTATCCACTTTAAACGAGTGAATTATATGGAAGATGAATTATACTTCATAAAAGCTATTAAAAAGTGAGATAGGAGGCTGAGCATCACTCCTATAATCATAGCACTTTGGGAGGCCAAAGCGAGAGAGGATCACTTGAGCCCAGGAGTTTGAGACCAGCCTGGACAACATAGTGAGACCTCATCTGTATTAGTTCATTCTCACACTGCTATGAAGAAATACCCGAGACTGGGTAATTTGTAAAGGAAAGACGTTTAATTGACTCACAGTTTCCCATGGCTGGGGAGGCCTCAGGAAACTTACAATCATGGCAGAAGGCAAAGGAGAAGCAGGCACCTTCTTCACATGGCAGCAGGACGGAGTGAGTGCAAGCAGGGGAAATTCCAGACACTTATAAAACCATCAGCTCTCATGAGACTCACTCACTATCAGGAGAACAGCACGGGAGAAACCACCCCCATAATCTAATTATCTCCATACTTGGTCCCGCCCTTGACACATGGGGATTATGAGGATTACAATTCAAGATGTGATTTTTGGTGGGGATACAGCCAAACCATATCACTGTCTCCACAACAAGTTTTTTAAAAAATTAACCAGCTATGGTTGCACGTGCCTGCGGTCCCAGCTACTTTGGAGGCTGAAGTAGGAGGATCACTTGATCATGATTGCACCACTGCACTCCAGCTTGGGTGACACAGAGAGACCCTCTCTCAAAAAAAGAGGAAAAGAAAATATATATTCTATGATCCAACAATTCTACTCCAGGTATATAGCCCAAAGAAATTTTCACACAGGGTTATATGGGAACATGTGCATAGATGCTTGCTGTATCACAGCTCTGTACAGCTCTGGGTGACAAGGAGCTGGAGGCTATCTGGGTGCTTATCCTTGGGAGAGTGGACAGGTAAAATGTGGTGGGTGTCTATGTTGGAGTCTAATACCACGGTGAGCAGCATCAGCTTAAATGTAGGCTAAGTGGCATAGATGAGTTTTAAATACATAAGCATTGAGTGGAAAAATGTAAAACCCAGGAGGAGATATATAATACAATACCATTTCCATAAGTTAAAAATGCATGTAGGCTGAGCACAGTGGCTCATGCCTATAATTCCAGCACTTTGAGAGGCTGAGGTAGGAGGACTGCTTGAGCTCAGGAGTGCAATACTAGTCTGGGCAAAAAAAGTGAGACCCCATCTTTACAAAAAAAATTTTTTTTTTAACTTAGCCACGTGCAGTGGCACACGCCTGTGGTCCCAGCTAAATGGGAGGCTGAGGCAGGAGGATCGTGTCAGCCCAGCAGATCAAGGCTGCAGTGAGCTGTGTTGCCATGTTCATACCACTGCACTCCAGCCTGAGTAGCAGAGTGAGAAACTGTCTCCAAAAAAAAAAAAAAAAAGGAAAATGCATACATGTAAATCAATATATTTTGTAATAAAACATTGAAATAAAAAGATAGCTCACTCAAATAGAAGTGGCAATTAGTCCTGTACTTGGATCTCTTTTCCTATGCGTCATAAAAGGTCAGGATATATGGAGCTAGAAAACATCAAAAAGCATCCATCAGTAAGACAACAGGAGAGATCGGTGCCTTGGATAAGAGGGTGTATAACTTCACCTACAGTTACATAAGCTGAAACAATAAATAAGAATAGATGTTGCAAGATTTTGGCAACATTTTGAGATGGCCTAATGTTCCTTAACTCTTTTAAGGGTCAATAGTGAGGGTTTGTTTCTCCAAAACAACATTTGAACCTTGGTTTCCTGAAATTGAAAATGGTTGGTTTTGTGCTGATCTAAGGAGCTGAACCATTGACTCTACAATGGCCCTTCATGTGCCCCTTCAGTTTTTTTATCAGCCCAGCTATATACCACAGGTTGGTTTCCTTAAAACAAATGTACCCCTTGTTCACTCCACAACTACACTTTTTGCATCATTCTGCTCCTAGCATTTTTTCACAGACCTTCCTGCCTAATGTTAAAATGGACTAAGCTGGGTTCCATGGCAGATGGACTTGGTTTCATCTCTTGGTGTCACCATTTATAGCTGAGCGTTGTCAACTTACATAATAAATGGAGAGAAGATCTCTAAAGGAAAATATTTATTCAGATATAGGGCATTGCAGTGGGAATTTATGTGACATAGTAAACTAACATGTATATTCAGGGAGGTAACGGAAGACAAAAGTTTTTTTTTTTTTTTAAAAAGACATAATTGTTTTAAGATAATGATCTTTGGCTACCAGCATCAATAACAAGAGTGACTCCAGTCTGACATTGGTCAAGCAGTTGCTGGACAGATGTCCTCACAGAAGTATTTTTTTTTTGTAAGGTTGCAGTGGCCTTTGTGCAAGGTTACAGTTTTTGCAGTCTTTTGTGATAGTTTTTGTTATCAAATATTTATGTGCAAGAACCCTGTCTTCATAGCCTTCTCCAGATCTATTTGTCATGATTTTTGTTAGCGCCAGTTACTCCATTTTGATTCTGACAACTTTCACATTTCCCCTTTTTGATTAAGATCTTTCTCTGAAAACATCATCGATCAATCATCCTGTAGTTAGATGTTTTTTTCCCTTACCCACTCTGAGTATGTCCTTACCATGCTAAGGATTTGATTGTTCCTCGGTGCCAGGATGGACCCATTCTGGTTTGGTGGTCTGATTCCACATTGGAGAGAGTAAATGGCAGCTAGAGTGAGTGTCAAAACCCTTTAAGCCACATTTGAGCAATAAGGGAGGTTTAAAAGGAGTGGCTCTCAGGCTAAGTATACCTGGAGTATACATAATTATACATAATTATACATAATTGAGTTTCATTTTGTCTGTTATATATTCTTTCGCTATGAACTCAAAGTGCTAGGCTGGCGTTATTCTGTTAGAAGTCGTACTTCTTGCCGGGTGTGGGGCGCAGTGACTCACGCCTATAATCCCAGCACTTTGAGAGGCCAAGGCAGGTGGATCACAAGGTCAGGAGATTGAGACCATCCTGGCGAACATGGTGAAACCCCATCTCTACTAAAATACAAAAAATTAGCCAGGCATGGTGGTACACACCTGTAGTCCCAGCTACTCGGGAGGCTGAGGCAGGGGAATCGCTTGAACCCAGGAGGCGGAGGTTGCAGTGAGCCAAGATCGTGCCACTGCACTCCAACTGGTGACAGAGTGAGACTCTGTCTCAAAAAAAAAAAAAAAAAAAAAAAAGAAATCGTACTTCTGCAAAAGTTTAACAAGTAACAAATACAAAGTTTAAAAAGGGAACATATGAGGTAAAATTAATAGCAATATGACAATCCCAGTTTGCATAATGGTTTTGAGCCATAAACCTAGGCTTAAAGGCACCCAATTAAATAAATCAAATGACCATTATCCTGTCAAGTGAAAGCAAAAACTGCAGCCTTGCACAAAGGCCAACTCAGGAGACTGAGGTGGGAGGATCTCTTGAGCCCAGGAGGCAGAGGGTGCAGTGAGCCCAAGATTGTGCCAGCCACTTCACTCCAGCCTGGATGAGACAGTGACACCCTCTCTCAAAATAAAGACATACATACATACATAAATACATAAACTTTAGAATTGTTATTCATAAAAATAGAAAAAACAATTCACTGTTTATGTATAGAAATGCTACTGAATTTTGTATGTTGGTTTTGTATCCTGCAACATTACTGAATTTGCTAATCAATTCTAACAGTTTTTTGGTGGAGTTTTTAGGTTTTTCTAAATATAAGAGTGTATGATCTGCAAACAAGGATAATTTGACTTCTTCCTTTCCAATTTGGATCTCCTTCATTTCTTTGTCTGGTCTGATTGCTCTAACTAGAACTTCCAGTACTATGTTGAATGACAGCAGTGAAAGTGGGCATCCTTGTCATATTCCAGATTTTACAGGAAAGGCTTTCAGTGTTTCTCCATTCAGTATGATGCTAACCATGAGTCTGTCATATATGGCTTTTATTGTGTTGAGGTATGTTCCTTCTATACCCAGTTTTTTGATGGTTTTTATCATGAAGAGATGCTGAATTTTTTTGAATTCTTTTTCAATATCAATTGAAAAGATCATATCGTTTTTGTCCTTCATTCTCATTGTTGTTATTGTTGTTGTTGTTGTTTTGGGGACAGGGTCTCACTCTGTTGCCCAGGCTTAAGTGCAGTGGTGCAATCTTGGCTCATAGCAATCTCTGCCTCCTGGGCTGAAGCAATTCTCCCACCTCAGCCTCCTGAGTAGCTGAGACTACTGGCATGTGCCACCACACTTGGCTAATTTTTTAATTTTTTGTAGAGACAAGATCTCCCTATATTTCCAAGGCTGGTCTCAAACTCAAAGAGATCCTCCTTCCTCAGCCTCCCCAAGTGTGTGCTTGGATTAGAGACATGAGCCACCACACCAGGCATTTTCCTTCATCCTCTTGATATGATGTATCACATTGATTGAGTAGCATATGTTGAACCATTCTTGCATCACTGGGGTAAATCCCACTTGGTCATGATGAATAACCTTTTTAATGTGTTGTTGAATTTGGTTTGCTATAATAGTATTTTGTTGAGGATTTTTGCACCTACGTTCATCACAGATATTAACCTGTTGTTTTCTTTATGTGTTTTTGTCTGGTTTTGGTATCAGGGTAATACCAACCTTGTAGGATAAGTTTGGAAGTATTCTTTCCTCCTCTATTTTTTAGAATAGTTTGAGCAGGATTAGGTATTTGTTTTTTAAACATGTGGTAAAATTCAACAGTGAAGCCATCTGGTCCTGGGCTTTTCTTTGCTGTGGGGCTTTTCATTACAATTTAGATCTTATTACTTGTTATTTGTGTGTTTGGGTTTTGGATTTCTTCACAGTTCAATCTTAGTAGGTTGTATGTGCCTAGGAATTTATCCATTTCTTTTGGGTTTTCCAATTTATTGGCATATAGTTACTCACAGTAGCCTCCAGTGATCCTTTGAATTTCTGTGGTGTCGATTGTAATGTCTTCTTTTTCATCTCTGATTTTATTTATATGGGTTTTCTCTCTTCTTAGTGTAGCTAAATATTTGCAATTATGTTTATCTTTTGGAAAAAAAAACCCCAACATTTTGTTTCATTGATCTTTTCTATTGTTTTCTTGATTTCAATTTTATTTATTTCTGACCTAGTCTTTATTATTTCTTTTCTTCATTAGTCTGGCTAAAGGTTTGTCAATTTTGTTTATCTTTTCAAAAAAACAACTTTTTGTTTCATTGATTTTTTGTGTATTTTCATTTCAAATTCATTGATTGCTGCTCTGGTCTTTATTATTGCTTTTATTCTACTAAGTTTGATCCTGTCTCAAACTTAGTAGAAGAATATATACATATTTGAGACAGGATCTTGTTTTGTTGCCCAGGCTGGAGTTCAATGGGATGATCACAGCTCACTGCAGTCTCGACCTCCTGGGCTCAAGTGATCCTCCAATCTCAACCTCCTGAGTAGCTGGGACTAAAGTCATGCACCACCACACTTGGCTAATTTGTTATTTCATTTGTTCCAATAAATTTTTAATTTTTTTCCCTTAGTTTCTTCATTGACCCACTGGTCATTCAGGAACATATTCTTTAATTTCCAAGTATTTGTATAGTTTCTAAAATTCCTCTTGTGATTGATTTCTAGTTTTATTACACCATGCTTAGAGAAAACACTTAATATAATTTCGATTTTTTTGAATTTTTAAAGACTGTTTTGTAGTCTAATATATGGCTTATCCTTGCAAATGATCCACATGCTGAGCAGAAGAATGTGTATTCTGCAGCCATTGGATGAAATGTTCTGTAAATATCTATTGGGCTCATTTGGTTTATAGTGCAGATTAAGTTCAACATTTCTTTGTTGATTTTCTGTCTGGAAGATCTGTCCAATACTGAGAGTGGGATATTGAAGTCTCCAGCTATTATTGCACTGGGGTCTATCTCTCTCTTTAGCTTTAATATTTGCTTTCTATATCTGGGTGTGCCAGTGTTAGGTGCATATAAATTTACAATTGTTACATCCTCTTACTGAAATGATCCCATTAGCATTATATAATGGTCTTCTTTGTCTCCTTTTATGATTTTTATGTTGAAACCTGGGTCCTGGGCTTTTCTTTACAGGGAGGCTTTTTACTATGGCTTTAATCTCATTACTTGTTACTGGTCTATTCAGGTTTTTGGATTCCTTCATGGTTCAATCTTGGTAGGTTGTATATATCTAGGAATTTATCCATTTCTTCTAGATTTTCCAATTTATTGGTATACACTTGCTCAGGGTAGTCACTAATTATTCTTTGAATTTCTGTGATAGCAGTTGTAATATCTCCTTTGTCATCCCTGATTTTATTTATTTAGGGTTTCTCTTTTTCTTTTTTCTTCATTAGTCTGGCTAAAAGTTTGTCAACTTGGTTTATCTTTTCAAAAAATCAACATTTTGTTGCATTGATTTTTGTGTGTGTCTTCTTCATTTCAAATTCATTGATTGCTGCTCTGATCTTTATTATTACCTTTCTTTTACTAAGTTTGAGGTTGTTTTGCTCTTGCTTCTGTAGTTCTTTAAGATGTGTTGTTAGGTTATGTATTTGAAGTTTTTCTTCTTTTTTGATGTAGGCACTTATAGCTACAAATTTCTCTTTTAGTACTGCTTTTGCTGTATTCCATAGGTTTTGCTATGCTGTGTTTCCATTATCATTTGTTTTAAGAAATTTTTCAATTTTCTTCTTAATTTCTTCATTGATTCACTAGTCATCCAGGAGCATATTGTTTAATTTCCATGGATCTGTATGATTTCCAAAATTCCTCTTGTTGTTGATTTCTAATTGTATTTCTTTGTGGTCAGAGAAGATGCTTGATATGATTTCAGTTTTTTGAGTGCTTTAAGACTTGTTTTGTGACCTAACACATGGTCTATCCTTGAGAATGATCAATGTGCTGAGGAAAAGAATGTATATTCTACAGACATTGGATGAAATGTTCTGTAACTATCTATTAGGTTCATTTGATCTATAGTGCAGATTAAGTTCAATATTTCCTTATTGAGTTTCTGTCTAGGAGATCTGCCCAATGCTGAAAGGGGAGTGTTGAAGACTCCAGATATTATTGTATTGAGGTCTAGCTCTCTCTTTAGCTCCAATAATATTTGCTTTATATATCTGGGTGCTCTAGTGTTAGGTGCACATATATTTATAATCATTATATCTTGTTGCTGTATTGACCCCTTTATCATTATATAATGACATTCTTTGTCTCTTTTTAGAGTGTTTGTCTTGAAATCTATTTTGTCTGATGTAAGTATAGCTACTCCTGCTCTTTTTGGTTTACATCGGCATGGATATCTTTTTTCATCTCTTTTTTTAAGTCTATATGTATCTTTATAGGTGAAATGTGTTTCTTGTAGGCAACAGATCATGGGGTCTTGTTTTTTCTTCCATTCAGCCACTCGATGTCTTTTGATTGGAGAGTTTAATCAAACAGAAGGAGTCTTCCATTGTGGCCACCACAGCTGGGAATGGTGAGTTGTTATATTTGCTACAATCAATGAGTCTACATTGACACATCATCATCACCCAGAGTTCATAGTTTACATTGAGGTTCATTCTTGGTGTTGTATATTCAATGGGTTTTTATAAACATATACTTATTAAGGACTGCATAGTGCACCATGGTGCTATTGTGTCTGGAATTGTTGGGTTCTTGGTCTCACTGACTTCAAAAATGAAGCCGCGGACCCTCACGGTGAATGTTACAGTTCTTAAAGGCAGCACGTCCGGAGTTTGTTCCTTCTGATGTTCGGATGTGTTTGGAGTTTCTTCCTTCTGGTGGGTTCGTGGTCTCGCTGGCTCAGGAGCAAAGCTGCAGACCTTCGCAGTGAGTGTTACAGCTCTCACGGTGGCGCGTCTGGAGTTGTTCGTTCCTCCCGGTGGGTTCGTGGTCTCACTGGCTTCAGGAGTGAAGCTGCAGACCTTCGCGGTGAATGTTACAGCTCATAAAGGCAGTGTGGACCCAAAGAGTGAGCAGCAGCAAGATTTATTGCAAAGAGCAAAAAAACAAATCTTCCAAAGTGTGGAAGGGGATGCAAGCGTGTAGCCACTGCTGGCTTGGGCAGCCTGCTTTTATTCTCTTATCTGGCCCCACCCACATCCTGCTGATTAGTCCATTTTACAGAGAGCTGATTGGTCTGTTTTACAGAGAGCCGATAGGTCTGTTTTGACAGGGTGCTGATTGGTGCGTTTACAATCCCTGAGCTAGACACAAAAGTTCTCCACCTCCCCACTAGATTAGCTAGATACAGAGTGTCGATTGGTGTATTTACAAACCCTGAGCTAGACACAGAGTGCTGATTGGTGCATTTACAAACCTTGAGCTAGATACAGAGTGCCAATTGGTGTATTTACAATCCCTTAGCTAGACATAAAGTTTCTCCAAGTCCCCACCAGAGTAACTAGATACAGAGTGCCGACTGGTGCATTCACAAACCCTGAGCTAGACACAGAGGGCTGATTGGTGCATTTACAAACCTTGAGCTAGATACGGAGTGCCGATTGGTGTATTTACGATCCCTCAGCTAGACATAAAGGTTCTCCAAGTCCCCACCAGAGTAACTAGATACAGAGTGCCGATTGGTGCATTCACAAACCCTGAGCTAGACACAGGGTGTTGATTGGCGTGTTTACAAACCTTGAGCTAGATACAGAGTGCTGATTGGTGTATTTACATTCCCTTAGCTAGACATAAAGATTCTCCAAGTCCCCAACAGACTCAGCAGCCCAGCTGGCTTCACCCAGTGGATCCCGCACTGGGGCCGCAGGTGGAGCTGCCTGCCAGTCCCGCGCTGTGCACCCGCACTCCTCAGCTCTTGGGTGGTCAATGGGACTGGGCGCCCTGGAGCAGGGGGCGGTGCTGTGCAGGAGCCCACAGCTGGCGGGGCAGGGTGTGGCGAGGCGGCTCAGGCATGGTGGGCTGGACCCCTGCCCCGCAGGGAGGCAGCTAAGGCCCAGCGAGAAGTTGAGCACAGCAGCTGCCAGCCCAGGTGCTAAGCCCCTCACTGCCCAGGGCCAGCGGGGACGGCCAGCCGCTTGGAGTGCAGGGCTGCCAAGCCCACTCCACCCAGAACTCGCGCTGGCCCACAAGCACTGCGCGCAGCCCCAATTCCTGCCTTCACCTCTCCCTCCACACCTCCCGGCAAGCTGAGGGAGCTGTCTCCGGCCTTGGCCAGCCCAGAAAGGGGCTCCCACGGTGCAGTGGCGGGCTGAAGGGCTCCTCAAGCACGGCCAAAGTGGGCGCCAAGGCCAAGGAGGCGTGGAGAGTGAGCAAGGGCTGTGAGGGCTGCCAGCACACTGTCACCTCTCACTATGGTCTCAATATCATTTGTCCCCACCAAAACTCATGTTGTGGACTGGTCTCCAATGTGGCAATGTTGGCAGGGCAGATGGTGTCTCTAAATGATTAGGTCATTAAGATAAATTAATGTCCTTCTCATGAGACAGGGTTAGTTCTCATGGGAATGGATTAGTTTCTGAGAGAGCCGGTTGTTATAAAGTGAGGGTGCCTTTGCAGCCATTGAAATACAAAAAATAAAATGAAGTTGCCCCTAGTGTTTTGCCCTTTCTCACACAAACCTAGTTCGCCTTCCATTTCTCCATGCTTTGACCAAGCATGAGGTCCTTGTTGGAAGCTGCCAGATGTTGCTGCCTAATCTTGAACTTCCCAGCTTGCAGAACCATGAGCTAAATATATCTCTTGTCTTTATAAACTTCTCAGGCTCAGGGATTCTGTTATAGCAATACAAAATAGACTAATACACATGGTATGTATTTATCATGAGAACTTTATACTTTTATTTGAAAATCCATCTTCAGACTTTTTCTATTATATACAATATAGATAATGCAATGTGTGTTAAAATTCTTGCTTTTTAAACTTATAAATCAATATGAAAATAAGATTGATGCATAGAACAATAGAAGAGAATGTGAATAAGTAATTGTAGAAGAAGAAATATAAATGGTCAATATAAAATGAGAAGTTGCTCAACCTCATTAACAATCAATGAAGTGAGAGTTGGAACAAGACATCATTTTTGAGAGCTATAGATTGATGGATATGAAAAAGATTGATAATATCAAGGATGGCACTGCTATAAACTAGGGCTGTAAGGGCAAATTGCTGTACCCTTTTAAGGGGACAGTAGCAATATGTAACAACCGTTAAAATGCACAGACCTTTTGCATTATGTTTAACTTTGTATACCTGCAGTGATAGCATTGTTATGTTAGATAGTTCTTATCTTTTAGAGATAGATATTGAAATACTATGAATGAAATTTTATAATAACTTGGATTGCTTCAACATAGGCTGCTGAGGGTCAGGCGCAGTGACTCACACCTGTAATCCCAGCACTTTGGGAGGCTGAGGCAGGCGGATCACTTGAGGTCAGGAGTTCAAGACCAGCCTGGCCCACATGGTAAAACCCTATCTCTACTAAAAACACAAAAATCAGCTGGGCTTGGTGGTGCGCACCTGTAATCCCAGCTACTCAGGAGGCAGAGGCACAAGAATCACTGGAACCTGGGAGGCGGAGGTTGCAGTGAGCCGAGATCATGCCCCTGGCACTCCAGCCTGGATGACAGAGTGAGATTCTGTCTCAAAAAACAAAAAACGCTGGTGAGTAGGTGAGGGGAAAGTAGGTAAGAGTACAGATGAAAGACGTGTGGCCATGAGTTCATGTTTGTTGCATCTGGGTGATGGATGAGTACATTGGAATTATTATACTGTTCTCTTTACTTCTATGTTTTAAAAAAACTTTTACAGAATAAAATGTTGAGGAAGAAAAATAAAAACTTGCAATTAAATTTTAACACAGCATTTATTTTTGAGAAAATTTATCCTAAGGAGAGGATCAACTAAGTGGGCAAAGATATAGCTACAAAAAGATTCAACATAACTTTCTAATTAAAGCTT